>NC_000007.14:117961324-118264354 GCF_000001405.40 Homo sapiens
AAGATCCAGTAGGAAGCAAGAAGTCATTCAACATTCAGATCTAAAAGGGAAGCAATCCAACCCCCTGTGCCAGAAGCAGCACTTGTTTACTGAGACATTTCTAGTGGACCTGAAGACTGACTTCACAAAATAGAAACCAGCCAAGAGGACAGAATGTTTTTTTGCTGCTTGGAAGAAGTAGAAATAGTCCGAGCCTGGATGCTGTCATACCAATTTATCTTAATTTCCACATTACTCAATTTATCTGTAGAAGAGGTAATGAGTGTTTTTTGTTTTCCTTTTTTCTTTTTTTTTTTTTTTTAGCAATAATGGGAAATATCATGAGTCAGATAGAAACAACACTCTTCAAAAAGCTCCCCTGATCACACTTGCTGGATATAAATCTTTTTCCTTTCTCTGTGCTCTTGTATTAGTTTTTTTGTTTTGTTTTGTTTTTTTAATCACAATTCCTTAAATAGGAGTGATTTGTATCTATGTCTTAATCTGGATTCTTTGAGAACAGGTGGCTGTCTTGTATATTTTTCTATCCTGCATAACACCTAACATAGTTTTTACAGTAGATAATATGAAATGAGTGCATAAGAAGGTGGTGGTTTGGGTCTAATCAAAAGAATGGACATGGGATGAAAATAACAACAACAAAAAAGTAGCCCAGAGTGACTTAACTTTGGCCTAAAGAATGGAATCATTAGAAGTCTGCAAACCATTTTTATTAGGTCAGTCTCAATTCTGCATGTCCCCTGGCAAACATTTAATTTCTTTCACTTTTCCTTATACATATATTTTTTGCTCCTGTATCATCTTTACTTCTCATTTTTGTTTGCTTTATACGCTAGCTCTTTGAAGTTAAAAATTTAAGGGAAATTGAGCAATTGTTGCTTTCTTTAAATTAGATCATACTAGTAGAGTCAGCAAGTTTTTTTCTGAATTCTGCATAGAATCTGTCTTCTTGTTAACCATTAGTTTTGATTAACAAAGGTAATGCTAATTGTACTTCCTTGTGGAGTCCTGGTTGACAATGCATGGTACATACAATTAATCAAAAGCAAAATGAAAGCAAATTGTGGACAGGTTATTTTTTCCATAATAAGTAATATACATTGATAGATGATTTTTGTTAACAAGAAGTTCAAATTACTTCATGAATTTGATTTTCCCTTCCTTGTAAGCAGCTGGTAAGGATTAGTTTCCCTACGTTTGGAGAATTTGAGGCTCAAGATTGCGCAGGAGCAGTCAGAACTCGGCCAAGCTTGCAGACTCCTAAGTTAATATAATCTGTCTCCGGAGTCATCTTTCTATAGAATTTTATTAAGTACCTTTGGTATAAATACAGACACTCATCGACCACATGACAAATGTGATAGCAAGTTTGCAGTAGATTTATGGGGAAAACAGGGACTAAATGAACCCATGGCTCTGCTCTCTGCCTGCAAGGTCAGCTCATGTACTCTTTGGAAGAACCTAGAGGCCTCCTCCTCCCTTCCCCAACCTTTTGTCAGCTTGCCATGAGGAAGGCTACCAAAGGGGCTCTCAGTGAAACTTTAAATCTTAATTCACTGAGGGGCTCAAAGTCCATTGACTCCTAAATAATTTTCTGCTCAAAATATAGAAAAGAGAGTATAATATATATTTTAGGGCATAACAGGGAAGTAAGGATATGGTATTTTAAAAGAGCTGTATATCTTCTCTTTTGTTCTTAGGACAGTCATCTGAACTCCCTGGGAGGGGGGAGGGCAGTTATAAACAAGATGAGTAGCTTAACAATGCACTTTCAAAAGAGAATATTGTTCCCCAGAAATATTCCAGAAATATCTGAAACAGCATTATGTCCCTGAAGAAGAGCAATGCCTGCTTTCATAATTTTCATTTGGTTATTAGGGTTTTTATTTTTTATTCCTTTTAAAATCAAGACCCTTTTCAGCAGAAATTGAAAATCACAGTTGTTTCCAGTTGGGGAAGAATGCCCACTGCTTTATCTGTTCCATTCATATATCTGCATAATTGGTTGATTCTGCAAGCTGTAATCTAATGATTCTTGTTTTGCTAGGAAACAATTTAATCTTAAACTATGTTTAGCTAGCCTCCCCCAGGACTGACATGCATCATTACCCTTCTCAGTCTTTGTGGACCATATGAAGAAACTGAAGAAAATTTATAGTGCCCTAGAGGTACTACTACCAAATGAAAGAATTGTCTTTAATTTTGAAAGCTAGCTAGAGTGTGATCTCTCTTGATTTCTGAAATAATACTCAGGTTTTAACACTGTGTTATTTTTGCTTAAGTCAATAAATGAAAAATGAAGTAACCTCAACCAATTTTGTGTTCCTGTAATAACAGGATTGCTACGTCTTCTGCTGGCATTGCATAGGCAGTTTGTTAAGAAGGCTAACTCCCCAAGTTCTGCTGTCAGAAGAGGAGGTTATACAAGCACATAAACAAAGGTGTTCTGTCAGACAAAATACCAGTTAAGCTGTGTTTGCTATGGCATAAATAAATGTTCCCTTCAGATCCAGTCAATGTGAGAAAAACAAGGAAATTACAAAGGGTAGTTTTAATGTTAAGAAGACAGGAGGTTAGCAGGCATGAAGAAAGTTTTAATTGTTTTACAAATGTTTCCAGTAAACCACCCTGAACAGCTGGGCCTCTATAAGCAGCACCAGGACATTCTGGAGGAGAGTATCTTAGACTTGGAACAAGAGAAGCAAGCTCCACAGTCCTCTAAAACTGTATTTAGAGAAATTGCCAGAATAATGCTGACTCTACCAATGCACACAGCTTTTCTTCTTTTTCCCAGCAGGCGAATTTATGCAAGCAAGATATTGCTTTGAAAACAAGCCATTTCTTCTTAAAATGACATTTTGACTAAACACAGAGCCATAAGGAAGCCTTCAATACAAAAGGTGATATAATCTTCCTAAGACTCTAGAAGCAAGACTGACAGAAGTAGAAAATCCATAAATCCTGTGCTTTTTAAACCTTGCTCTATAAACTATAATCATATTAGTATAGCACTGAATTAAGGAAGGCATTTCTTTTCTCTCTCTCTGAATAATATAAATATTTTATGTAATATCTCTCTGATTTGTCTTTTCTAGAAGAGGGTCTTTGATACTGACATGAAGGCCTTAGATTCAGCTATTTTCTCCATTTGGTCTCTAAATTACCTTCATACATATGTAGAAAGTCATGCTTCTATCTATACAAGTATTTATTATTTATGTTTCTATGCATGTGCTTATATCTTGGTTTATTGCATAAAGACTTTAGGTGCTAACAGTAAATACATGTAATAAATTTGCAAAGCAAACACACACAACAAAACAATAGGACAGGGAAAATCTAAATTAGCATAGGAGATGTAAATGGGCTAGGGAAAAGTGTCAGAGAGAATATATTATGCCTAAGAAAGTTGTAAATTTCTATTTAGTTCCCAGAGCTGAGCAACGCACTTAGTTCTGAACTTTACCACTGACAAAGTAACAATAAAAACAGAGCATTAAATTGTTTTCATTATATATGAATGTCACAAAAAAGGCATAGAAAATCCTTAGGAGAATCACAGCTTCTATTTAACAGTTAGCTCCTATTCTCTCACAGGTCTTTGTATTGGGGACACTAGTGACTGTAGAGGACAATGTCCTGGCCAGGTGTGGTGGTTCACACCTATAATCCCAGCATTTTGAGAGGGCATGGCGGGAGGATCGGTTGAGTCCAGAAGTTTAAGAACAGCCTGGCAACATAAGGAGACCTCGTCTTGACAAAGAATAAAAATAAATAAAAAAAGGACAATGTCCTCGGGAACATCACCACAACAAATACACATCTAGCAGTGTGTTCTGAGGAAAGGCAAGAGCATTATCTCTCATTTCAATCCAGGAGAAACAGTTCTTCACACGTTCATGGGGAAGAGTTCTGATGGGCAGCTTGATGTAAGGATAAAACACACTATGCCTGTATGTAAATATATGGACTGCATGCACATATGTGTAGATAATTCTAGTTTTGAAAGTGATCTTACAGAAAACATTAGTGACGACCTACTGAGCAGTTACTCTGGACCAGGCATTTTATTTACATACATCATTCCATTTATTTGTCCTAAGACTTTAAAATAATTATCTTTACTTTTCTCTTCTGTATTTTATAAAATGAGGACACAGAACTGAGAATTTAATATACCTGTCATAGATGTGTATAAATATATATATATGTATGAAAACATTAAAATAAAAAGTAAAAAATCCACCAATTGAACTGAAAGATTTGAACACATTTCTCCCAATAAATGATAGATCAAACAGACACAAATCAGTACAAATAAAGAAAATTTGAATGGAACAATCAAATTGCTCAGTCTACTGCAAATTTCCCAAACTTCTCTGATGGCCTAATACCAGACCTACTGAGTGAGACTCTCCAGGAAAGAGACCCAGAAAGCTGTATTCCTCAGGTGATTATCATAGAGGAGGTTTAGTAAACACTAATCTAATGAAAACATAAAAAACTCTGGACCCAGTTCAAGTTACAAGGAACATTTACCAAAACTTCGAAACATTTACCAAAACATAACAATGCTTTAGGCCATATAGCAAGTCAGAGTAAACTCCAAAGAGTTCATTTTGCACAGAATTCCATCTCTGACCCAAACTAGATTAAGTTAGGAAATAAATTTAAATTTTACATTCATGCATACATGTGCAGGACAAAAAATGGAAATTAAAAAAATATATATTTTACTAACTCCTGGTTTAAGAAAACATTAAAAAGGGAAAAATTTAACAATGAAGAAAATACTGTAACTTAGAAGTTTAGAGAGGTACTTCTCTCTTTTCTTCTTTATTAGTCTTGCTAGTGGTCTATCAATTTTGTTGATCTTTTCAAAAAACCAGCTCCTGGATTCATTGATTTTTTGAAGGGTTTTTTGTGTCTCTATCTCCCTTAAGTTCTTCTCTGATCTTAGTTATTTCTTGCCTTCTGCTAGCTTTTGAATGTGTTTGCTCTTGCTTCTCTAGTTCTCTTAATTGTGATGTTAGGATGTCAATTTTAGATCTTTCCTGCTTTCTCTTGTGCGCATTTAGTGCTATAAATTTCCCTCTACACACTGCTTTAAATGTGTCCCAGAGATTCTGGTACATTGTGTCTTTGTTCTCATTGGTTTCAAAGAACATCTTTATTTCTGCCTTCATTTCATTATGTACCCAGTAGTCATTCAGGAGCAGGTTGTTCAGTTTCCATGTAGTTGAGCGGTTTTGAGTGTGTTTCTTAATCCTGAGTTCTAGTTTGATTGCACTGTGGTCTGAGAGACAGTTTGTTATAATTTTTGTTCTTTTACGTTTGCTGAGGAGTGCTTTACTTCCAACTATGTGGTTAGTTTTGGAAAAAGTGCGATGTGGTGCTGAGAAGAATGTACATTCTGTTGATTTGGGGTGGAGAGTTCTGTAGATGTCTATTAGGTCCGCTTGGTGCAGAGCTGAGTTCAATTCCTGGATTGTTAAGAAAAGAGAGAAGAATCAAATAGATGCAATAAAAAATGATAAAGGGGTTATCACCACCGATCCCATAGAAATACAAACTACCGTCAGAGAATACTATAAACACCTCTAGGCAAATAAACTAGAAAATCTAGAAGAAATGGATAAATTCCTCGACACACACACCCTCCCAAGACTAAACCAGGAAGAAGTTGAATCTCTGAATAGACCAATAACAGGCTCTGAAATTGAGGCAATAATCAATAGCTTACCAACCAAAAAAAGTCCAGGACCAGAAGGATTCACAGCCGAATTCTATCAGAGGTACAAGGAGGAGCTGGTACCATTCCTTCTGAAACTATTCCAATCAACAGAAAAAGAGGGAATCCTCCCTAACTCATTTTATGAGGCCAGCAACATCCTGATACCAAAGCCTGGCAGAGACACAACAAAAAAAGAGAATTTTAGACCAATATCCCCAATGAACATTGATGCAAGTATCCTCAACAAAATACTGGCAAACTGAATCCAGCAGCACATCAAAAAGCTTATCCACCACGATCAAGTGGGCTTCATCCCTGGGATGCAAGGCTGGTTCAACATATGCAAATCAATAAACGTAATCCAGCATATAAACAGAACCAAAGACAAAAACCACATGGTTATCTCAACAGATGCAGAAAAGGTCTTTGACAAAATTCAACAGCCCTTCATGCTAAAAACTCTCCATAAATTAGGCATTGATGGGACATATCTCAAAAGAATAAGATCTATCTATGACAAACCCACAGCCAATATCATACCGAATGGGCAAAAACTGGAAGCATTCCCTTTGAAAACTGGCACAAGACAGGGATGCCCTCTCTCACCACTCCTATTCAACATAGTGCTGGAAGTTCTGGCCAGGGCAATCAGGCAGGAGAAAGAAATAAAGGGTATTCAATTAGGAAAAGATGAAGTCAAATTGTCCCTGTTTGCAGATGACATGATTGTATATTTAGAAAACCTCAACATCTCAGACCAAAATCTCCTTAAGCTGATAAGCAACTTCAGCAAAGTCTCAGGATACAAAATCAATGTGCAAAAGTCACAAGCATTCTTATACACCAATAACAGACAGAGAGCCAAATCATGAGTGAACTCCCATTCACAATTGCCTCAAAGAGAATAAAATACCTAGGAATCCAACTTACAAGGGACATGAAGGACCTCTTCAAGGAGAACTACAAACCACTGCTCAAGGAAATAAAAGAGGATACAAACAAATGGAAGAACATTCCATGCTCATGGGTAGGAAGAATCAATATCGTGAAAATGGCCATACTGCCCAAGGTAATTTACAGATTCAATGCCATCCCCATCAAGCTACCAATGGCTTTCTTCACAGAATTGGAAAAAACTACTTTAAAGTTCATATGGAACCAAAAAAGAGCCCGCATTGCCAAGGCAATCCTAAGCCAAAAGAACAAAGCTAGAGGCATCACACTACCTGACTTCAAACTATACAACAAGGCTACAGTAACCAAAACAGCATGGTACTGGTACCAAAACAGAGATATAGATCAATGGAACAGAACAGAGCCCTCAGAAATAACGCTGCATATCTACAACTATCTGATCTTTGACAAATCTGAGAAAAACAAGCAATGGGGAAAGGATTCCCTATTTAATAAATGGTGTTGGGAAAACTGGCTAGCCATATGTAGAAAGCTGAAACTGGATCCCTTCCTTACACCTTATACAAAAATTAATTCAAGATGGATTAAAGACTTAAATGTTGGACCTAAAACCATAAAAACCCTAGAAGAAAACCTAGGCATTACCATTCAGGACACAGGCATGGGCAAGGACTTCATGTCTAAAACACCAAAAACAATGGCAACAAAAGTCAAAATTGACAAATGGGATCTAATTAAACTAAAGAGCTTCTGCACAGCAAAAGAAACTACTGTCAGAGTGAATAGGCAACCTACAGAATGGGAGAAAATTTTTGCAATCTACTCATCTGACAAAGGGCTAATATCCAGAATCTACAAATAACTCAAACAAATTTACAAGAAAAAAACTAACAACCCCATCAAAAAGTGGGTGAAAGATATGAACAGACACTTCTCAAAAGAAGACATTTATGGAGCCAAAAGACACATGAAAAAATGCTCATCATCACTGGCCATCAGAGAAATGCAAATCAAAACCACAATGAGATACCATCTCACACCAGTTAGAATGGCCATCATTAAAAAGTCGGGAAACAACAGGTGCTGGAGAGGATGTGGAGAAATAGGAACACTTTGACACTGTTGGTGGGACTGTAAACTAGTTCAACCATTGTGGAAGTCGTTGTGGTGATTCCTCAGGGATCTAGAACTAGAAATACCATTTGACCCAGCCATCCCATTACGGGGTATATACCCAAAGGATTATAAATCATGCTGCTATAAAGACACATGCACACATATGTTTATTGCGGCACTATTCACAATAGCAAAGACTTGGAACCAACCCAAATGTCCAACAATGATGGACTGGATTAAGAAAATGTGGCACATATACACCATGGAATACTATGCAGCCATAAAAAATGATGAGTTCATGTCTTTTGTAAGGACATGGATGAAGCTGGAAACCATCATTCTCAGCAAACTATCGCAAGGACAAAAAACCAAACACCGCATGTTCTCACTCATAGGTGGGAATTGAATAATGAGAACACATGGACACAGGAAGGGGAACATCACACACCGGGGCCTGTTGTGGGGTTGGGGAAGGGGGCAGGGATAGCATTAGAAGATATACCTAACGCTAAATGATGAGTTAATGGGTGCAGCACACCAACATGGCACATGTATACATATGTAACAAACCTGCACGATGTGAACATGTACCCTAGAACTTAAAGTATAATAATAAAATAAAATAAAAACTTAGAGAGGTAGGTCAGTGGTATGTATGAGGACTTTTATGATTTAAATGCTTTATCATAAAAGAAGAAAGTGAAAATTAATAAGCTTGTTTTTGAAGAGATAAAAAAACAGACAACTCTCTGGGAAGTTTAATCAATAAAACAAGAGATAAGATTCACAGGAATCCTTAAAACAATGAAAAATTACAGATACCACATAAATAAAAGAAAAAAACATGCTCTGATGCCAAAAATTTTGAAAACTTTCAAGAAATGGATATTTTCATAGGGTAACAAAATTTATCAAAATTGACTCAAGATGAAATAGAAAATGTATCTTTGTAACTATCAAAGTCATTAAATAAGTGTTTTTAAAAATGTTTCCAGAAGGAAGATATCATGCATATGTGTTTTTAGAGATAAATTCTTCCAGACATAATTCTAAATTTGGCATAGAAGAAGTGAGAACATTGTACAACTCATCTTATGAAGCTAAATGACTTTGATGACCAAATCAGAAACAGGCACGATATGAAAAGGCAGTTAGGTGTCAGTCTTACTTATGAATATTGATACACTGACTTTTTGACAACCAAGTTACGTTTACTTATTTTATTTTCTTAATAGTATAATTAGTTTATTAATGATATAATGTATTTTATTAGTGGTACAATATAATTCAAGTTATTGTTAAAAGCATAGAATTGTTATATTTTTCTGGTGAATTAAAACTTCGAAGGCCGGGCGCAGTGGCTCACGCCTGTAATCCCAGCACTTTGGGAGGCCGAGGCGGGTGGATCACGAGGTCAGGAGATCGAGACCATCCTGGCTAACGTGGTGAAACCCCGTCTCTACTAAATATACAAAAAATTAGCTGGGCGTGGTGGCGGGCGCCTGTAGTCCCAGCTACTAGGGAGGCTGAGGCAGGAGAATGGCGGGAACCCGGGAGGCGGAGCTTGCAGTGAGCCGAGATCGCGCCACTGGACTCCAGCCTGGGCGACAGAGTGAGACTCCATCTCAAAAAAACAAACAAACAAACAAACAAAAACTTTGATCATATTGTAGTAGACATCTTTATTTCTAGTAATGCTTTTTGTCTTAAATTATATTTCTGTATTATAAATTAATGGCATCAATTTTCTTTTAATGAGCACTTTTCAGATATATCTTTCTTCCATTCTTTCCAACTTTTCTGTGCCTTTTTGTTTTACATATTACTCTTACATGCAGCATCAGTTTTTTCCCTCTGCTGATTTGGATGTTCCTCATGCTCTATTTGTTCTTGGTCAAATCCTTGAAATTTTACTGCGCTTACTTCACAAGACTTAAGTTAATAATTACATTTATCTTCCTCTTGAATAGCTCCAGGACCTATTTAACGCTATCCACCACATACACTACCTTTTAGGTTTCATGCTATTTTGTTCATTATTTTATAGTTCTTTGCAATGCTTAATTGTTTTATTCTCCAAATCAATAGTTATTATTGCTGTGTTCAATGTTTATTTAGATTTATTCTCATCCTCAATGCTTTCTTGATTCACTAATTCTTTTTGCAACTCAGATCTTTTTCTGGGAAAAAAATATATCTTTCTAAAATTCATCCTTTAGATTTTCTTTTACTGAGAATCTGTTGGTACTAAACTCAGTTTTTGTTCATCTGAAAATTTCTTTTTTTACTCTCCTTTTTGAGTGTTTGTTTTGAGTATACAAATGTAAATTGACAGTTATTTTCTCTCAGCAGATTGGTGCTACTAATTCCCCTGTTTTCTGCCTTTCATTTTTGCTCTTGAGAAAGCAACCATTAGACTAAATATAGTTTATTTTTAGCTAGCCTATCTTTTCTCTCTGGCTGCTTTTAGGATCTTTTATTTTCTCTTTGGATTTCACTGCAATGTTTTAATATTGAATTTAAAAAATTTATTCTGTTTTGAATTCGTTAGGTTTACTCAATCTAAAGATAGATGTATTTTCAATTCTGGAAAGGGCTCAGTAATTATCTTTTAAAATAACATCTCTTCCCCTTTCTTTTAATTCTCTCCTTCTGGATCTCCGATGGGACATATTTTAGGCATGTATTCTCTGTGTCTCAAGTTCTCCTTCATAGCTTTTATCTCTTTTTCTGTCTGTGCTGCATTCTGGAAAAATTTTTGGAATCTATTTTCCAATTTGTAATTCACATTCTTTCTCCCTTCCTTCCTTCCTTCCTTCCTTCCTTCCTTCCTTCCTTCCTTCCTTCCTTCCTTCCTTCCTTCCTCCCTCCCTTCTCTCTTTCTCTCTTTCTTCTTTCTGCCAAGGTCTCTCTCTCTCACCCAGGCTGGCATGCAATTGTTCAATCTCGGCTCTCTGCAACCTCTGCCTTCCAGGTTCAAGTGGTTCTCCTGCCTCAGCCTCCTAAGTAGCTGGATTACACGTGTGCACCATCACATGAGGCTAATTTTTGTATTTTTGGTAGAGATGGGGTTTTACCATGTTGGCCGGGCTGGTGTCGAAGTCCTGACCTCACGTGATTCGCCTGCGTCGGCCTCCGAAAGTGCTGGGATTACAGGCGTGAGCCACCGAGCGCCTGGCCGTTTTTCATTTTCTACTAAGTCTGATTTGCTGCTTAATTGTCCAAGTTTTAAAATTTCTATGATTTTATTTTTCATTTCAAAAAGTTCTATTTGACTTTTTTTTAAAAACGGCTGTTTCCTAAAAAAAATCTTTTGCTTATTACTCATGGTTTAAATTCTCTGTTATATGTCTTAAGCATATTAAACATGCGTATTTTATGTGCTTTGTGTATTAGCTTCCATAAATGTCTAGTTCTGATGTTTGTTCTTTATTTTTTTTTCTGATTCTTAGTATGGTGCTATTACCTGGTATGGTTTGGAATTTTTTAATTATGACTTTAATTCATTGTAATTTACATATGGGAATATTTTGAGGTCTGGATCTAGGAGGCATTCTCCCAGAAAGGATTTGCCTTTATATCTACTGGGCACGTGGAGGCCCTGCAAACTCTGGTATACTTTGTTACAACTAATGACTTCAGATTGTAGAAGACACATAGTGCAATATCAGGCCCCAAGCGCTCTACGTTCTGGCCCTTAGCTATGAATTCTCAAGGGAGATGTTTTCCCTTTCTCCAAAGCCAAGGCAGACAAGTTGCCAAGGCAGACAAGTTTCAAAGGGCTGATTTTGTTTGTGGTTTCTGCTTCCTAACTCACCCTTTCCTGGAGGACAGAGTCCTTCCTGAGTCTCTGCTGTAAAGGGTAGACCTCCACCATGAACCCCCTCGCCTCTGGGCCCTGTGCCTAACTACTAATCCCAAGAGGCAGCCGTCCTCCTCCCGAGGGCTGCGTGGACTCAGTGCTCCCTTACTTCCCTTGTATGCCTTTGCTTCACATTCCTGCCTCAGAGGTGTTTTCTTACTTTCTTGGAAATTCACACATGACTTTTAAAGGATGTTTAGAAAATATTTTAAACAGCATTTCAGTGTTTTGTACTGGCAGGATTTCAAGATCTCTAATCCATCCTACTGTTGAAAATAGAAGCCCAGGTACATTTTCTTTTTAAAAAATTTATCTTTTTTTTTTTTTTTTTTTGTGGCATGGTGTCTCACGCCTCTATTCCCAGCACTTTGGGAGGTTGAGGCAGGTGGATCACCTGAGGTCAGGAGTTCAAGACCAGCCTGGCCAACATGGTGAAACCCCGTCTCTACTAAAATTATAAAAAATTTGCCAGGTGTGGTGGCGGGCACCTGTAATCCCAGCTATTCGGGAGGCTGAGGCAGGAGAATCACTTGAACCCAGACCCGGGAGGTGGAGGTTGCAGTGAGCTGAGATCGCATAATTGCACCCTGGCCTGGGCAACATGAGCAAATCTCTGTCTCAAACGAAAATTATTTTTTAAAATGTTTAGACTTCAGGTTTCATTTTAAATTCAGGGGTAGGTACATGTGCAGGTTTGCTACCTGGGTATATTGTGTGATGCTGAGGTTTGGGGTATGAATGACCCTATTGGGAGTGGTACCCAGTAAGTCATCTCTCCACTTTTGCCCCTCCCTCTCTCCCTACTCTAGTAGTCCCCAGTGTCTGTCATTCTCATCTTGATGTCCATGTGTCAGGTACATTTTCTTAATGGTACCTTATGGGGAAGTTTTCAACTCTGGGCTTGACAAATATAGGAAGATTGATTAACTATAAAGTGTTTTCTAAATGTTTAGCTTAAATATAAGCATATGTACAAACAATTACAAAATGTACAGATAAAGCTACAAAATAATCAATCCCACAGGGAACTCTTAGCCGGAAGTGGCTAAAAGATTCTTTAGTCGTCATCCTGATCCTATAGTCCCCATTGAGCTTTCTCTTTTAATAATGCTGGTCGATACAAGTGGACTCGATTTATTAAAAGAGATTTCAGTTGCTGAGAACTGGCAGTCTTTATGTCTGTACAGGATCTGATTTTGGTCTCCATTGATTGTCGGCCAAAGTTCTGGCTGTTCTGCTGCTCTTGTTTCTTCACATATTGTGCATGTGCTCAAAGGGTATAAACTTGCAGCTGCCTCACCCTAATGATTCCATTTACTCAAAATACTTTCCATGTATTGTTATAATGAAAAGAATTATGATAGTATTTTTGGGTTTTGTTGGAGGAGAAACAAGGCCATGATCTGATCCTGGGGCAATGTAGTAAGGATGTTGTAGGTAAGTTTTGGGTTAAAATCCCAGAGCTTTTTTCTCCATGTACACTTCTGTTTCTGTCTTAAAAACAGTTAGTTAAATATCACGACAGGTTTAGTTGCTATGATTGGAAGACTGCTGAGAGTCCATGTGCCAGATAGAAATCCAGGTTCTATTACTACAGAGAAGGGGAGAATGGATATTGGGAGAACTCAGTATGTGTGGAGGATAGTGGTGTGAGGCCATGCTTGACATGTAGGTCTTGGACCGACCATGAAGAATCCAAAGCTAAATATGTTAGCCTTTATCTGATAGGTGAAAGGAAACCACAGAGGTGTTTAAACAATGGAACAGAATATTCATATCATGTGAAGAAAATAAAGTTCAAACACATTTCAGAGAAGCCAGACATAGAAGCAATACCAAGAACAATTCGATATTTTCAGAATTATGTTCAAAATGTTTCATAATCACACACTCATCTTTATATGATATATAAAATAAATCATCTCTGCATCAAAATAGGCCCACTTTTAATATAAATTTATATTAATTACTGAAACTTTCATTCCAGAAAATGTGTATATTTTTAGAGCATTTAGTGTATGAGACAAAAAGGCCTTTGTGACATATTACCCTCTATTTTCTGTCTGTTGGTGTCTCTTAAAAGGAATTTCCTGGCATTTACCACAGAATGATAGCTTAAATTCAATTTAATACTCATCTTTGTCCTTAATATTCCCTTGGGTCATTTCTCAAATGAGAGATTTAGTTAACTGAGTTGACACGAGAAATTAGGAGTAATTTTATATGCACTTTCCTCTCTGTGAAATAGGCAAATTGTTATTCATTAGCTTACCAATTCCCCAGAAGGACATTTTGACCTAAGTACAAAGTGTTGTTATTGAAAACGTTGAAGGACAGTCAAAATTGTGAGTTTCTCATAAAAATAATTTTTGGCATTTTTACACAGACTATGTGTAAAATGATTTAAAAAGACTTTACTACTGATGTTTTGATAAAGTGCCACTTTGCTTATTTAATGATAAAAAGATCAAGATGTAGGTTGGATGTATATTACATTCAACATGACTGAGTTAACTATTTTTCTGTTTGTTTTTACGTTTAATAAATATAGGCAATTAGTGACAGGGTGCTACCACAGCCTTGATAGTTTTTGCCATTGCTTAACTAAAATAATAACATCAAATTACATTGCTCAATTTCCATGAGGACCAAAGTGGCTGGGCAGAATTCCATCATTTGCTGGAAAGGAAATGATAACTGGGTCATGTCCTATAGTAAAAATTGGCACAACTTTGTAAAGAAGAATTCATACCCAATCAAATTTATTTCTTGCTATTTCTCAGTGATGAGCCATTGAGCCTGAAAGTAATTTAATTCCAGTTTCTATTATATTCAAACCAATCAGTTAGAAGATAGGATCTAGCCAAGTGTTTCTTAAACTGTAAGGCTGTGAGCTCTTGGCATTCTTCTCTTATTTAACTTCTGATTTCTTTTTCTTTCCACTCTATTTCCATGTTAGCACATTATTCTTTATCCTTTGTTTACAAGCATCATGCCCTTGCCCTCTGCCCTCTCACAAACAGAATCTAGTTTTTGAAAGAAAAAAATGTAATTTAGGTTGACTACCTGTTAGGAAATAAGATAAAAATGCATTGCATTTATTAACAAAATGAAAATCTGAAAGGTTTTGGTATTATTGTTAAGTGATATGAAGCGTTGTACTGAGAATATCAGAACCATTTAAGGATTTTAAATGTTTAAAAATCTGAATAAAGTACATGTAAATCTTACTAAAGGATTTAAACTAAAGCTGAAAAATTCCTCAAAGAGGTCATGAGTAGAGGCTGTCTGAGGGTAAAATGACTTTTTTCACATCAGTGAAAGGATGAGGAATTTGGCCCACTAGGAATTCATGCAGCTTCTAACTGGATGGTCTCCGCTATCTGGCAATCCCTTCAGGCCTCTTTTGTAGACTGCTTGTCCACTCTAGCCATAAGAGCTATTCCAGATTTTCTCTGGTCTCAAACCTGAATCCCACCTACTTACCCAGATTTTAATAATTGGCATTTCCTCTTACTTTTCTGACCAGATGAAAGCTGTAGGTTCTGAAGTCTTTCACTCCTGCATCATCTGACTTCACCTGTCAACCCCTTTCTACCCTCATGAAGGGTCATGTGATCCCAGCTCAGCTCAACCTGAGGCTCTGAGCTAGATCCCGATCCCTATCAAAGGAAGTAGCGTAAACTGCTCAACAGGATAAATGTGCTGTTAATCCTCCTCTGATATTATGGCTAGTTTTAATAATTGAGCTTCTGCTTTGTTATTTTGACTTATAGTGGACACTGCCTTACTCAGCAATTCACTTCTCCCTACCAGTCTCAATTACTAAGGTTGTGTCTAAATCATCATCCTATTGCTAGAACCTTGTCATTTGCTTCTAGATGCCCTGATGCTGCAGAGTATCTTGCCATCTAACACCTGTCCCCAGACTTTTCACGAGTTCTTTGTATACTTGAACTCCAGTCGCCTTCCCTATGTTGCCCTGATAGTGGCCATGTACTGGACAATCTTGTCATCATAAGTTGGGTACCATGCCCTACTGTCCTGTGTAGACTTCCTTCCTCTATCTGTACGCGGCTCTGTTGCACAGTCCTTCCCTACCCCAGTCATCATGTTCAGTCTCCAATCTCTTCAACAGGCCAAATCTCATCAAGGTGATAAGCTCTGTTCTGAAAGCTTAGATGCTATAAGCTCATTCCCGTCCCCTGCCCCCACTTTTCATTATGTATAGAAGAAAAAGTGATTTCACATCATTCCAAGGCCAGCTCCTAGAATACTTGACCAGTGCCCTTAATCCCCTCCCATCCTATGTCTTTTCGTTTATCTAGGGTTTTGGTCTGTTATTCGCTTTCTCGTTCTTACTTTTTCTGTGGGACCTTTCAACTCTGCCTTCAAACATGCACTTGTTTTCCTAGGCTTGAGATAAAAGAACAACATCTCTTGATCTTGCTGCTAGTGCTTGACTATTGTTCTGTTTTCTCCTTCCTAAGCTTAATAAACTTTTAGAATAAATGTCCTATCATTTCTTACCATGTATTCTGCTCTTTACATCTTAGATTGTGGCCTGCTCCTCTTTCCTACCCAAACTGCTGAAATATTCATCTGAATCAATCAATTTGGTGACTCTTTTTCAGTTATCATTATTCCTAATTTATCTCTGCAATAATACCAATAGCCACCACTTATTGAGCAGCTGCTGTGTGCTAAAAAAAGTGTTCAAGCTTAATAAAAATTTGCAGACTATTTTTCCCCAATAGTGTTAACTTTAACCATCTTAGAAATAAGTGGTTCTTTTAAATGGGAAATTCTCTTTGCTTCTGCCCTGTTCTTTCTCCTCCCCACCTTATGTTGCTCTGTCCACTGAGAATCAACTTCTGTGGCACTTGCAGAAACCTTCCTGCTCAACATCTGGTCATCACTTGGAAGTGTAACTTTTTCTAATAACTTTTGCCTAACAGTTAAAGGCACCATTATAAACCACAACACATGATATGAGTGGAACTTTGTATGCCCTAATTACATGGGCCCTGTCATGTGTGTCTGAAGTCTTACATTTGATTGGCTCTCTCCTCTCCAATGTCAAATGGAAATGTAATCAACCAGAAGTTTTTCTTTTCAGGGTTTCATGTATTATTGATGCTTCATGAAAACAGAGTAAAAAATAATCTTATCATTGACAAAGAAACACTTATATCGAACTGCTTACATCTCCGCGGAATTTTATATTTCGTTTGCTTTTGAAAGCCAGTAGTATTACTACCATCCCTCCATCTCTCCCCCTCACACATCCACACACACAAACTTAGAGAAAGGAAACATTCAAAACACGATCTCTGTATAGAAGTGGTCAGATTTTAAAGAGCTAAAGATATATTTTCAAATTTAAGTAACTGTATAAATTAAACCTAACGCACACCGATACTTCCTTTGTGCAAGCAAGGACTTCTTTCAAAGTATTTGTGCTTTATCTATGCATGACTGCATTTGTTTGTTTTTTCCTCTTACGATTTTAAAGTATGTCTCTGTAATGCCCATATGAAAATAGAAAAAAAGTATTGATTCTACCTCTAATCCCCAGAGAAATGAGAAATGAAGTAAACAAATAAGTAGTTATTAATTAAGAGATTATTACCTATGCTAGAAACTCTGTATGTCAGTTGTAGGCCCTTCATGTTGAGATTCATTCCCCAATCCTTTTCTTCTTACCTCTGTCATACAGATTGGAATATTTGCTAGGTTCCTGTCTCTACTGGATTATGGATGGATCTGGCCAATGGGAGGCACTCGCAGGAGGCTAGAGGACAGAAGGAAGGAAGAAGCCAGAGTATTTCTCTTCTCTACCCATTCTGCTTTGAATGCAGGTGGACAGAGGTCACTTTCTTTAGTCAGCGTTCTCTAGAGGGACAGAACTAATAGGACAGATGTATATATAAAGGGGAGTTTATTAAAGAGTATTGACTCACTGGATCATAAGGTGAGGTCCCACAATAGGCCATCTGCAAGCTGAGGAGCAAGGAAGCCAGTCCAAGTCCCAAAACCTCAAAAGTAGGGAAGCCAACTGTGCAGCCTTCGGTCTGTAGTTGAAGGTCCAAGTGACCCAAAGCTGAAGGACTTGGAGTCTGATGTTCAAGAAGCATCCAGTACTGGAGAAAAATGGAGGCCAGAAGACTGAGCCAGTCCAGTCTTTCCACGTTCCTCTGCCTGCTTTCATCCCAGCCATGCTGGCAGCTGATTAGATTGTGCCCACCCAGATTGAGGGTGGGTCTGCCTCTCCCAGTCCACTTACTCAAATGTTATTCTCTTTGGCAACACCCTCACAGACACACGCAGGATCAATACTTTGCATCCTTCAATCCAACCAAGTTGACACTTAATATTAACCATCGCACTTTCCTTTCATGGCTCCAGTTTCCACCATACAGGCCACTATAGTCCCAGGGTCCTCTGGGTGTCCTCTCCCATGGGGCTTTGGTAACACTATGGCTTCCCTCTGTCCCTTTAGAGAAGAGAGTGGCTTCCTGAAAGTTGCTTCCTGGGTTGCCTTGCTGGTCCTTCTAGGTCTTATTCCCTGTGGAACAAGTTCCCTAGATTTCATTTCATCTGTTTTTGATATTCAAAATGGTTTCTGCTTCATGGCTGGATCATAACAGACACATCCTACCTATTCAGAAAAACCCAGATAATGCCGTACGCTTTTAGGAATAGAGGAAAAATAAACTATGTACCATTTTTTAAAAATGCCATCATTTGCTTGTTTAATCTATTGAATTTGAAATTAAAATTACCTCAAAAATTTTCCATTTTTTCATCTACTGTTTAATGTTTCTGATATCGCTCTCTCTTAAGAGTATGACCACACATTAAAATTTTACACCAGATGTTTTCATTACTCTGCAATAAAAACTCTTGGCATTGTATTTTTCATACATTTTAAGCTATTGTCATGGCCATTTCATCTTTGGGCCAAGCTTCTCTTGCTCATTTTGTTAATGAGTCATCTCATCTTCTTGTAAGCCAATCTCAAAGAAAAATGGCTTTTTGGACTACGTTAGGCTTTGTTTAACTTATTCAAGCCAGGGCACACTTTTGACTTAATAAATGAACCATTACTATTAGGAGATCAGCAAAATCTATTTGACGCCTACCTTCTATAGCTCTGTAATACATATTATGGGAACAGAAACATGAAGGAGCTCACACACCCTACCTGGTAGAGAGGGAGGGGTGGACCATTTGGTTTTCAAGGGATGAAGGTACAGAATGATATGACTAATAACCCTAGAAGAAAAGGCAGTCACATAGAGGAATTTAGGCTTAAATTTTGTATAAGCACATTATAACCTGAGATGAGTCACGTGAATGGACCGATACTACAAACAGGTGAGACTGACTAAGAACCACTTCATGAAAGAAGTGAGCTTTAAGCAGAAGAAAGAGACCAAGCAGCTTTAGTGGGGAAGGTGGGGTAAAATGATATTTCTAGGTAGGCAAAAAGCACACACAGAGGCTTAAAGTTCCAGAAAATAAAGAGCAAATGGATTTACCAGGCAGGAGGACACAAGAGCAGGTCAGTTGTGAAGCAGAGAGGGAAGAGAAGTAGAAACAGCAGCCTAGTGCAGAGTCCTGAATGAGTTAGGAAGAGATTTGATGCGGAAGACGAAGAGAGGATTCTGAGGGTGGGAATAAATCGCTTTCTTTTAACCTTATCTCTTTCGTGCTTTGAGACTAGAAAACCTTCTTAATGTGTTAGGGGATTTTGGGAAAAATGTCCCTAATATGTGAGAATAAAATAGAAACTTGTATATAGAAGCCTGTGTATACTGAGGATGCTCAGCTCCTTCGATGACTTATGTTTGATTTGTATGAGTTCAAATGGCCCAAAAGGGCTGAAAGCCAGGTCTCCAGACTTGAGACTGATGTTTTTCTGACCATGTCATTCTTTTTTACAAAGCGTTACTTGTCACTACTGGGAGACAGAATATTGGACTGAATAGATAACTACTCTGATCTACAATGGCATATTTTTTGGTTTATTTCTTTTTGATGAATTCTTTCACTTTTAAAAAAATTTCCTCAAGATCCTCCACACTAATATTAGTCTCAGACTCTCTGATTTACCTTCACTCTTCCACTCCTTGCTGCTGACAGAGTGCTCAGATTTGATCAAGAGGTTGCATTGTTTAAAACCTACCAATGCACTCTCCACATGCAGAGAGGTCCATGCTCTTGGTATGGCATGTGTGTAGGGTTGCCAGGTTGGCAAATAAAAAATACAGGATATCTAGCTAATTTGAATTTTAAACATTGGATTTTTAAATGTATAAGTATGTCCTGTGAAATATTTAGGACATACTTATGCTAAAAAAGTAATGTCTATCTGAAATTCAAAGTTAACTGGGCACCCTCTATTTTATCTGGCAACACTAGATAGACAGTCCATCCTTATCTTCCACCCTAGGCTCTTCTTGCACCATCCCCTCACCCCCGCTCCACCCCGGTGCCCAACATTCCAGCCATCTCCATCTGCCCCAGTTCCTGGGACCCTCCCGCATTTCGTATGTTAACTGCCACCAGCACTTTACTCACATTGTGCTCTCTGCCTGAACTAAAGTTCTTTTACTTAAATCTGGACCTTGAGGACTGTGGAACTCCAAATGGAGGACATCCAGTAAGGTGTATTCTGCCATTTCTTCTGGAAGCCCCCGCTTCTGCCAGTGGGGCAAAGGGTTCTGGGTGAAGGGGTTGCGGCTATGCTGTTGGGGAGTAGGAATCAATGTTTCAGGCCTGGTCTTTTCAGTCTGAAGGTGCTCTCCCTGTTTCAAAATAACAGAGTCTCACTTGCTCCTGAAATAACCTTCCTTACAGCTTTATAAGTACAGCCTTGACTCGGGGCCCCCAGCTCAAGGCTCACTGTCCTTCCCTAGGCTGCACAGCTCCCTTTCTGGACTGGCCATCGCCACTGTGAACCCTGCCAGGTTCATGTGGATCATCAGAGAAGCTCCTGCCTTGTGTTGACTGGGGTCCTGCTTCTACCCACACTAGAGCTCTCCAGCAAAGCAGCCTTCCCAAATTATATCTCAAATGGTGTGGATGCTTTTGTTAAACTGGTTTCCCTCATTTTAAAATAATGTCTATGTTGTAACATCGGGAAATGTGACACTTGGATAAACAACTTTTGATATAAAAGTCTCTGTATGTGTGAAATTGAAATAGGGCACATCAATTAAACTCTCAATCAACAATTAAGCATATTTTCATGTTATGAGGACTAAGAATAATGGGTTTGATCAAGCTGCTATTTGTGAGAATATGCTGACCCTGCATCTAAGAAATTCCGCTCCTGTGGGAAGAGCTTATTCCTGATATCAAATGTAATGTTTCTCTATGACAATCAGAGTGTGGGTTTCTAGCAGGATTTCCCACCGGCTGAATAAACAAATGTTACAAAGTGTTTACCAGTGTATCACTAGAAGTTTCTGGAAATTGCATTTAAAAGATCTGTCTGTGTACTTAGATTCTTCCTTCCTTAGGCAGAGAACCACACAGACAGTCCCAGGCTAATCTGCAAAGCGCACTGCAGTTGCACTAAATCCTCCCAGCAAAACATCATAAAACCCTTCCTGTTTGACTTTACACAGCATTTAAACATCAAAATAATTACCAGGAGGCTGAGGAAGCCGTGTCACAGCTCAGGTCAAGCTGTTCTCTCCCGAAGCAGAGGTACAGAGCAGAATGTGCACGGCGGCTGATTAGGGCAAGTGGGCCAGGCTTAGGGATGGGAGAAAAGGTAGGACACTGTAATGGGAGGTCAATTATCTCATGCCATCTTTAGGTACCAGCAATGAGTAACTTTATGAAGAACTACTTTATGTTCTTTAGAAGTCCTTCAGAGCTAACGTGATGCAATATAGCTGTTACTCATTCACTTCCTTAAACTTTAAACTTTTTGAGGTTTACAAATTAAATCATAATAATATAAAACAATTATGTCCAGTAACAGCCACATCTGACTGATTGGCACTGCTGTTATATAAAACTCCTTAGAGAACTCTCGGTTTGATGTTAAAATAAAAAAAGAAAAAAGCCTCGTTTTTCAAAAAGGAGGACAACTGACTCTTCAAGATGCATTTTTCTTCCTTTTAGCCCTTCATGCATGCCTCATTCTGTGCATGAAAAAACTGAATATATTTCCTAGGGTCGGTCACACTGCTTTCCACAGTTTGCAAAAATTAAGGGATATTACTGGATTAAAAACAAGCAAACACCGTGCCCATTCTGTCAAACAGCCATGCTGTTCTGAGTATGATGTGCCATGCTCAGAAAATAGGCCGTGCTCATTTTTATTGATTTATTTCAAAACTTCTCTCAGTCAAAGCGACCCTGGAGGTTTAATAACATTTTTTGCTATAGACTGCAGCAGAGACATATTAGGCAGGACTGGTGAAATATAGCCATTAACATATAAATCCAATGCCTTATCAATAACACATTTTAAAGTTGGTGACAAGACCTAAAAATCATCATTTAATACCATTACATTCAGCAGCTTTTTCATTTGACATGATGCTTTAGTGATTTAGTGCCATGACTATAAAATGTCAGGAGGATTTATTGGCGTGAATCAGATCAATTCGTATTAGAAAATAGGAACAAAAACTAAAACATCCTTTTTGCGACCTACTATATTCTGTTCTAAGCAGAGAGGATTGAAGTAATATCTAATTAGAACCCTTAATATTAGCATTAGAATTATTTTTTCTTAAATTTCATTCTAAAGCATGGAGCAATTGTGTCTAGGAGTCACGGCAGAAAATGAAAGATATTTTATCCATGGGCAGCACATTTCCAGTTCCATCAAGCTCAAGTAATAATTTTATCAATCATCATATAAAGAGTAGATTTCTAAGTGAATCTTGAATCTGTTTTAGAGGAATAAATGGGAGAGAAACACCAGGACATTGAATTATTTCAAATATAATGACAATTAATCCCTCCTGCCATATTGATGTTTGTTTCCATGGAAACATTGCTTACAAAAAATAGTTAATATTTTGTTTTGCTTGGGAAATCAAGTTTACACATTTCTTCCCGCACAATTACTATGATTAGTTATGAGAATTAGCATTGGACTTAATATCACTTCTAAGCAAGTGTGATAAATACTATGGTAGGGGTATGCCGAGAGCACAGAGGAGGATCACGTAGCTCAGACTATCCAGGAAGGCTTCTTGGAAGAGGTGATGCCTGAGTTGCCTTCAAGGACAAGAAAGAGTTAGGTGAAGAATGAAGGAAGGGATATCCAGGTGGAGGAAATAAAAGAGGAACAAGAAAATAGTAGAGAAAGAAGAATCAGATTCTGGATATTAGCGCTTTGTCAGATGAGTAGGTTGCGAAAATTTTCTCCCATTTTGTAGGTTGCCTGTTCACTCTGATGGTAGTTTCTTTTGCTGTGCAGAAGCTCTTCAGTTTAATTAGATCTCATTTGTCAATTTTGGCTTTTGTTGCCATTGCTTTTAGTGTTTTAGACATGAAGTCCTTGCCCATGCCTATGTCCTGAATGGTAATGCCTAGGTTTTCTTCTACGGTTTTTATGGTTTTAGGTCTAACATTTAAGTCTTTAATCCATCTTGAATTAATTTTTGTATAAGGTGTAAGGAAGGGATCCAGTTTCAGCTTTCTACATATGGCTAGCCAGTTTTCCCAGCAGCATTTATTAAATAGGGAAAATGAAATCAAATAAATTTACAAGAAAAAAACAAACAACCCCATCAAAAAGTGGGTGAAGGACATGAACAGACACTTCTCAAAAGAAGACATTTATGCAGCCAAAAAACACATGAAAAAATGCTCACCATCACTGGCCATCAGAGAAATGCAAATCAAAACCACTATGAGATACCATCTCACACCAATTAGAATGGCAATCTTTAAAATGTCAGGAAACAACAGGTGCTGGAGAGGATGTGGAGAAATAGGAACACTTTTACACTGTTGGTGGGACTGTAAACTAGTTCAACCATTGTGGAAGTCAGTGTGGCGATTCCTCAGGGATCTAGAACTAGAAATACCATTTGACCCAGCCATCCCATTATTGGGTATATACCCAAAGGATTATAAATCATGCTGCTATAAAGACACATGCACATGTATGTTTATTGCGGCACTATTCACAAGAGCAAAGACTTGGAACCAACCCAAATGTCCAACAATGATAGACTGGATTAAGAAAATGTGGCACATATACACCATGGAATACTATGCAGCCATAAAAAATGATGAGTTCATGTCCTTCGTAGGGACATGGATGAAACTGGAAATCATCATTCTCAGTAAACTGTTGCAAGGACAAAAAACCAAACACTGCATGTTCTCACTCATAGGTGGGAATTGAACAATGAGAACACATGGACACAGGAAGGGGAACAACACACTCTGGGGACTGTTGTGGGGTTGCGGGGAGGGGGGAGGGATAGCATTAGGAGATATACCTAATGCTAAATGACAAGTTAATGGGTGCAGCACACCAGCATGGCACATGTATACATATGTAACTAACCTGCACATTGTGCACATGTACCCTAAAACTTAAAGTACAATAATAATAAAATAAAATAAATAAAAAAAATTAAAAAAAAAGAAGATCAGATTTTAAGTGCCATTGCTTATCTCTGTCTCACTGAGAATCTTTCTTTCTTTCTTTCTTTTTTTTTTTTTTTTGAGATGGAGTTTCCGCTCTTGTTGCCCAGGCTGGAGTGCAATGGTGTGCTCTTGGCTCTCCGCAACTTCTGCCTCCCATGTTCAGGCAATTCTCCTGCCTCAGCCTCCCAAGTAGCTGGGATTACAGGCATGCACCACACCACCACACCTGGCTAATTTTGTATTTTTAATCGAGATGGGGTTTCCCCATGTTGGTCAGGCTGGTCTCAAACTCCCGACCTCAGGTGATCCACTCACCTCGGCCTCCCAAAGTGTTGGGATTACAGGTGTGAGCCACCACACCCAGCCGAGAATCTTTACCTGGAAGACAATGAAGGTCTGTAAAGGACATTTGTTATTTTTACATGTCAGGCATCTGTTTTCTTTGAAGGTAACTACACTCTGACTTTCCCTGGAGAACCATACATCCCCCACATTGGCTATCAGGTTTGCGTGAATCGAACAATTCTAACTTCATGGACGTATGACTTAGGCTTGGCCAGTCAAATTGCATTATACTAACCAGAGTAATTGGCTCAGGGGTTGTATTATTTCCCTATTGTTAACTGTAACCAATTAACACAAATTTAATAGCTTAAATATAAATATAAATTTATTATCTTATAGTCCTGGAGGTCCGAAGCCCCCAAATCAAGGTGTCAGCAGGGCTGTATTCCTTCTGGCTCTGGGTATCTTTCAGATCTTTCTCTGATCTCTGCTTCTGTCATAAAGTCTCCTACTATGACTGTTACCTCCCTGCCTTCCTCTTACAAGGATTATGTGATTACATTGGGCCCTTCTGAATTATCCAGGAAAATCTTCGAATCTCAAGATCCTTGACTTAATCACATCTGCAAAGTTCCTTTTGCCATGTAAGGTAAGATATTCTGGGGACTTAAACATTGGCTTCTTTGGGGGCCGTTATTCTCTCTACCACAGGGATGTTCATGTGACCTAAGATAGGCCAATAAGACAACCCCTATATTAAATTGGAAATATTGGGAAAGAGGTACTCTCTTTTTGCTAGAGAATTAAAATGGTGGAAATGTTAATTTTAGAGCTGCTCTTACTCATTTTGCTACCACTTTGGAGCGCCTACCTAGGAATAAAGTCAACAGAAACAAAACAAAGTAAAGGGTGCAGAGGGAGGGAATCCTGTTGTCCATTGCAGCTGGATGTGTGCTTCTACCTCTGGACTTTCCAGTTACCTGAGCCAGCAAATTCCCATTTTTGTAGAAGCCAGTTTGAAATGCATTTCTCTTGATGCAACTAAGAGTCTTGAGAAATACAGCAGCAAGTAAGCCTTTTAAAAAAGGGACTTACAACATTCAATTTTTACTTAATAAATGAATAACTAGCACTGGCATGGAAATGTGTTGGAAACAAATCAAGTCTGGAATTAGCAAGATGAATTAGGGAGGAACTTCAGCAGATAAGGAGAGAAATGATGAAAACATGAAGCAAGGCCAGGCGTGATGGCTCAATCCTGTAATCCCAGCACTTTGGGAGGCTGAGGTGGGTGGATCATGAGGTCAGAAGTTCAAGACCAGCCTGGTCAACATAGTGAAACCTCATCTCTACTAAAAATAAAAAATTAGCCTGGTGTGGTGGCAGGCACCTGTGGTCCCAGCTACTCAGGAGGCTGAAGCAGGAGAATTCCTTACCCAGGAGGTGGAGGTTGCAGTGAACCAAGATTGTGTCACTGCACTCCAGTCTAGGCAACAGAGGGAGAACGGTTTCCGTCTCAGAAAAAAAAAAAAAAATTAAGCAAGTCAGTGGTAGTGGCAACAGAGGAAGTAATAAATTCAAGCTATAGTTCGAAGATGAATGCCAGGATTTGGTGACCGATTGGATGGAAGGAGTGAGTCTTGGCTGAGTTCCGGGTTTCTGGCTTGGTGACTGGGTGAATACTTGGGTCATGAATGAAGTCAGCTGAGCTAGGCATATAGATTTGAGAATCATTGTACAGGTGTTAGAGAAGTCCATACTTTTAGACAAAATTATTTTGAAATAATACAGCTTTAGAAGAGAAGAGGATGGTTGATATAATTTAGGAAAGTGCTTATAAGAGATACTGGCGTCATAAAAATGAACAGAGGAAAGAATGTCAGGTAGTGAAAAGATGAGAAGTGGGATAAGATATAACGAATGCTGTAGTGAAGACAGGAATGATAAGCAACAAAAAAAGAACAATAAATTTTCCAACCAGGAGTTCAATAGTGAACAGGTGTATTTTAATGACTGCCCCAAGTGACTTTTTTTTTGAAGCTTTCCTTTTCTCTATTAAGAAGACAGAGGTGACAACTTTCTTTTGACTCTCAAATGTGCATTATGCATATTATAGCACCTACCACTGTTTTGAATATGAGCCTTACTTCATAAATGCTTGGAAATAAAAATATCACATTGCTTTATTTTTCTACATTGAATTAAATGATTACATTTACTTCAGAACCTCTTATTGACAGAGTGGTTTAAAAATGTCAATTCAGGAATGCGGAATATTCCCTAGTGAATTCTTTGAGGCTTACATCTTGTCCTAAAATTGATGGAAGGGGCTCTAGTCTTTAGTTCATTATGATTTCCATTGAGATGGTCATTTTTATGGCTCATATGACTCCTTCAAAGGTGGACAGCCTCTTCTTTCACTCCGAGACCCCGTAATGGATCAGAAGACAGACTGAGATGAATTAAGGAGTGAATTCAAGTGAAGAGAGTGAGTATAAATTATTCTTTCTAAAAGTTTGGGTATGGAGAGAAGGAGATGGTGTGGGATTGGGGGAGGAGAGATGAAGGTCAAGAGAGGTTTACATACTTTCCTATTATGGATTGACTTGCTAAGAAATCTATTGGCGCTTTGGGTTCTTGGTTTTGTTTTTGTAGTTATTGTTTGTTTGTTTTCTACCACATGCTCATCATAGGAGAAATATCATGTCTTTTTCCCTTGCTGATATCAACTATCTCAAGACAGTCTGTCTGACCCAGATTCAAGATTTTTGCCCACAGAAAAGAAATAGACGTGTATGTGAGTATATGATAATAAAATAATAGTTGGAGAGGGTGGAGGGAGAACAGGCTTTGGTGGTCAGAATATAGGTTAGTGGATCCTGAAGAATCACCCAGAGAAATCACTGAGGGCAGGTTTGCTCAGATTCCACAGGGAGATTCTGCAGGCATAGGCCTGAGGTGATGTTGGTATCTTCATCTTAACAACCACTCCAGGTAATTCTGATTCAGGTGGGTCAATAACTACATTTGAAAGTTTTATTCTTTGAGGGTTACATGAAGGAAGGCACTCTAACTTCAAGGAGATATTGATTCTTGAAAGTTAGAAAGGGAGTTGCAACATCCTAAGATGGTGGAGCCAACATAAGGGATGAGCACTAAGAACTGAGGCCTTGAGAAGCTGAGTCTTCAGCTTAGCTCGGCTAAGCTGAGCAAGGAAAGAGTGCTGCCATTAGTGGAGGCACTGGCTTGTGAATGGACCACCCAGTCCTCTAGACCTGAGGTGGGAGAGGGAGCTGCACCTAATGACCGGTATTGGACTTCTCCCCAACTTTGATAGTGAGGCCTCCAGTTGAAATTAATTTGATTTAGAAAAATAATGTGGCATTTCTTATACTTTAAGAGCCAGGGAACAATTTCACTGATACTTATTTCATTTTTAAGGATAGGAGAAAATTGAGCATGGTTGGGTCGTGAGAGGAAAGAGGTAATTGTAAAAAGGAGAGATTGGAGAGATGAGACATTTCCCAAAATATCTGAATGGGCTTCTGGGCATTGTTACTATGATACTGATGGATTTTCTATGGCAAATCCAAGATGCAAGACAGAAAGCCCTCTGTCAGCAAGTATGTCCCTGATCCACAATACCCTGCCCTTTCCCCATTCTTGCCATCACCTGCTCAGGTGTCACCTCTTCTGGGAAGTTTTTGAAGCCCAGATTCTTCTGACCCCTCCTATCTTTGTGCAAATGTTAGATGTTGCATTGGCAGCAAAGGACAAGCAGTTTTTTCAGAATACCATATTCTTCCTGATGTTCCTGGCATTGTCTATGCATGTTTTAATTCACCTATTTGTTCCGAGTGCAGGGGTATGTGTCATTAGTCTTTGTTTCCCCAGTGTCTACCAAAATATCTGACACATAAGGACTTAATTCATCTTTTTTGTATTGAATTAAACTTTTGATAATAAACGTATACAGTTGACTCTTGAACAACATGAGTTTGAACTGTATGGGTCCACTTATACATGGATACATGGATTTCTGCCTCTGCTACCCCTGAGAGAGTGGGACCAACCCTTCCTCTTCTTTGTTAGCCTACTCAATAGAAAGACAGTGAAGATAAAGAATTTTATAATGATTCACTTCCACTTAATGAATAATAAATATATTTTCTCTTCCTTATGACTTTCTTAATAACATTTGCTTTTCTCTACCTTTCTTCATTGTAAGAACACAGTGTATAACACATATAACACATAAAATATGTGTTAATTGACTTTTTATGTTATCAGTAAAACTTCCAGCCAACAGTAGGTTATTGGTAGTTAAATTTGGGGGGAGTCAAAAGTTATGTATGGATTTTTGACTGTGTGAGGGTCAGTACTTCTAACCCTCGAACTTGTTCAAGGGTCAACTGTAGTATCTAAGCATTTAATTTTAGACTAAGAACATAATGAAAAAGTTTGCCATCAGTGATAAAACTGTTGAAAAAGTTTATGTAGCATTTCTAATAATACATAAATTAATGTCCATTATTTATTATCCTAACTAATTCACAGTTCTCCTCTTTTATTTATTTATTGTGATATTTGCATATCTAGAATATATTGGGCAGTAGATATGTAAAAAGTGAACAATACCTAGTACTTGTCTTCCATGAGCACATGGTCTAGTAGCAGAGACAGACAAGAATATCATTAGAGTGAAATTACATTACAGTGAAATGAATTCTGTCATAGGCATAGGCACAGGATGTTTTTGCAATACAAGGGAGAATCTGAGAAGGAAACTATCTGACTTGAAGGGGTGTAAAGGGACAAGGGAAGGTATCTAGAGGAATCTAAACCATGAACCATATCTAAAGGACAAATAAGAGTGATTGTGGAGGGTGGGGCAGAATAGGGAGATGGGGCAGAATCCCGTTTCTGTCCCTCTCCCTTTAATGTTTAGGAAACAGCCAGTGTTTCAGTACTGCTGGAGTTTGGGGTCTGTGTCAGGATGTGGATGAGCTTCTAATATCTCAGCTACATGAATCATAGAGTTATTTGTGGAGCTTTATGCCTTGGAGTCAAACAACTGACTACAACAAACAACTAGCCTCAAGTTCAGGTCTTGATTCCAAATCTGAAAAGAATATTGATCATACCAGTAGAGTAGTACAAAGCTCCAGTGGAAAAACAAATTAGAGAGTTCATTGCAGTTGAAAATGTTGGATACTGCATTGCCAGAAAAGGACAAGGAATTATTGAAAGTTCCCTTTGTACTTCAAGGGGAACTTCTCTACTCTCTTTCCAAAGAATTTCTCTATTGGCTTGAAGACACTAAATAGGCAAGTACTTAGAAACTGAATAATTCATTGTGCCTATTTCACTTAGTATATGTGTACACTGGTTTTGCTTAGATACTGAGAAGGCAATGTGGGTTGGAACTCATTCACACCATTGATTTGAGTATGCCTTTTTGGGAGTTGAGAGTTTAAGCTTCTTGTCTTTCTCCTTGTAAGTCTCTCATCCTAATAATGATCATTTTTATTCTCTGAGGCCTCTCCAAGAAATCTAAACTGAAAGGTTCAGAGTGCCACAAAATAAAATTAAGGTTTTCAGGTAATGCTTCCTTCAGAACTTGGTAGAAATTTTATTAGCATTGAAGGTGGAGAGAGGAGAGGCACTCTATGGTAAGGTTCAGAGCTCAGGTATAGGAGAAAAGATTGAAAGGACTCTCAAGACCAGGCATGGGAGACTCACCTCCCTTCCCTCTATCCCAAGTACGATCTTCACTCATCTTTTCTTGCATCCTCCATTTGAGATGAAAATGTTATCTAGGCATCAGGAGATGAAGATCTAGAAAAAGTTGTTTTAAACACTTAATTCTAGACCTAGAGATGTCCACATTTCCTCTTAATTTATGCTCATCCCTGGGCACTCTTGGAATGTAAATCTGATTAGTGAATGGCTTCCTACTCTTCCTCAAACTTTGGTCATGGCCTACAAGTCTCCATATCACTGCTTACTTCTACAGATACAACCTGGCAACTCTGGAGTTCACTCAAGGTGATCCAGCCCCATGCTAGCCCATTCTCAATCTCTTAAGTATGTAAATTTCTCCAGTCTTACGGCCTTTGCACTTGCTGGTTCTTCCACCTGAAGTATTCATTCCATGGTTCATGACATTTTTGTTGTCTTTTGCTTCAGGTCAACAGAATGGTCTTTCCTAATCATCCTAGGCTCTCATTTCCAGGTGCCACCATTGCCCTTTGATTCCACTATAACTACCAGCTGGTTTTCTGGTTTGTCTGTCTCTCCCAGAATGCCACTGGTTCTCAAAGCCTTTAAAATATGAGTGTCTAGGTTATACTCAAGATATTTTGATTTGTGTGTTCTGGAGTTGCAGACTGGTCATCAAGAATTTTAATAGCTCCTTGGGTGATTTTAATGAGCAGACAAGATTGAAAACCACTGCTGTGGACCATTGGTTCTCAAAGTGTGGTCCCCAAACAACAGTATCGACATCATCTGTGAATGTGTTATAAAGGCAAATTCCCTGGCTCACCTCAGGCCACCTTGAATTAGAATCTCTCCTTGTGATTCTGAGGAATGCTAAAATTTAAGAACTGCTAGTCTAGAATAAAGTCCCTGAGGGTTATTCTTTGGTATCCAGATATTCTGCAGTGTCTTTGACCTAGAAGGTGTAATAGATATTTGAATCAGCAAATGAATAATCAGTAATAATCATAATCAACAAATGAATAAATTACATAAATGATACAATGAAGGAATGACTTTTTCTTGCAGAATTGAATGCACATGATTTGATTTCAATGCACATCTTTCTACTAGGACCTCAGGATAAATTTGTTCTACTAGCCCTCATTGAGAAATTATGTCATAGCAGAGATAGAAGAGCAAAAAATAGTGTGATTTTCTGAACTGCTGCCCCAGCAACTCTCTTTCTCAGCCTCATTTATTTCGTTCCTGTCACTATAGCACTGAGTGTTTTGACAAGTGTGCTATTTTCACTTCCATGACTTGCACCTCTAATTCAAAGGTGACAAAGTGGAGAGGCTATTTATTAGATTTTATTGGTAACAGATTAACCATACATTTGTTTTCCTTTAATTTCCCAGTGAGTGGGTCACTAATGAGTTGCCCAGTCAAATTAGGGGATGCCTACCTTTTCTTGGATGAGCTTCCATGCATTGCATGTGAACAGTCTTCTGCTAGAAGCCCAGTGTTGCTATTATCTGCACCTCCTCCCTAGCACCATCTGGAAACCTCACCACCCTCAGAATGCAAGGTGCATCCTTCTCCACTCTTACACATTTTATCATGCTGAGAATGCTCAGACACTGGGAGACCTGTCATGATTGGCTTGCTAGAGAAAAAAAGAAAATATAATCTCCTCTAATTCTAGTGTGAAGTTGATATATAAGCTAGACAGAAACAATGATATTAGTTCAAGCTGCTTAGAAGTGAATTATGCCTTCCCTTGGATAGAGTTTCTAACAAACCAAAAGCTGCTGCTGGGGGTGGATGCTAATTCTGTAGCTCAGACTTGTTTCTGTTATTATTCTCTATAATGAATCACTCTCCCAGACCCTAGAAAGAAATAATGCTACAGCTTTACATTGGCTGAAATGGCTGTGCCTGCAATCTCCTCCCTTGCCCAGGGGTGCTCTGGAGAGCTTTCCTTCCAGATCACAGGGTCCTAATTGGTGTGCATTTCAATGGCTTTCCTGTAGGGGCAGCAGCAGCAGCTTTTGAAGGACACAGCAAGGACTTGCTTAGCAAAGATGATCTCCTCCCTCCCCTTCTTGTCCTCAGTGGTTGAAATTCTCAGCTGTAGTCACTCCTTTAAAAGGCAGGAGGATAATTACAGTTTGGGTAAATTTCTTCCTGGCTATCTCCTTCTCTGATTCTTGTTTCCATCTTCTAATGTTACTGAGGATTAGCTTAACATAGATAAATCATTTCAAAACCTTGAGGGGGATGGGGAAAAAAAGGAAAAGATCCAGGCAGAGAAAATGAGATTGAGATCACAAATACAATCATGGGCTGATATGGTTTGGCTGTGTCCTCTCCAAAATCTCAACTTGAATTGTATCTCCTAGAATTCCCATGTGCTGTGGGAAGGACCTAGGGGGAGGTAATTGAATCATGGGGCTGGTCTTTCCTGTGCTATTCTCATGATAGTGAGTAAGTCTCACAAGATCTGATGGGTTTATTCGGGGTTTCTGCTTTTGCTTCTCCCTCATTTTCTCTTGCCACCACCATGTAAGAAGAGCCTTTCACCTCCCGCCATGATTCTGAGGCCTCCCCAGCCATGTGGAATTGTAAGTCCAATTAAACCTTTTTTTTGTTCCCAGTTTCAGGTATGTCTTCATCAGCAGTGTGAAAATGAACTAATACAGTAAATTGTTACTGGTAGAGTGGGGCATTGCTGAAAAGATACCTGAAAATGTGGAAGTGACTTTGGAACTGGGTAACAGGCAAAGGTTGGAACAGATTGAAGGGCTCAGAAAAAGACAGGAAAATGTGGGAAAGTTTGCAACTTCCTAGAGACTTGTTGAATGGCTTTGCCCAAAATGCTGATAGTGATATGGAAAATAAAATTCAGGCTGAGGTGGTCTTAAAAAGAGATGAGAAACTTACTGGGAACTGGAGCAAAGGTGACTCTTGTTATGTTTTAGCAAAGAGACTGGTAGCATTTTGCCCCTGCCCTAGAGATTTATGGAACTTTGGACTTGGGAGAGATGATTTAGGGTATCTGGTGGAAAAAATTTCTAAGCAGCAAAGCATTCAAGAGGTAACTTGGGTGCTGTTAAATGCATTTAGTTTTAGAAAGGAAACAGCATAAAAGTTTTGAAAATTTGCAGCCTGACAATGTGATAGAAAAGAAAAACCCATTTTCTGGGGAGAAATTCCAACCAGCTGCAGAAATTTGCATAAGTAGCAAGGAGCCTAATGTTAATCCCCAAGACCATAGGGGAAATATCTCCAGGCCACGTCAGTGAACTTCCCGGCAGCCCCTCCCATCACAGGCTCAGAGACCCAGGAGGAAAAAGTGGTTTAGTGGGCTGGGCCCAAGGACCCTGTGCTTTGTGCAGCCTAAGGACTTGGTGCCCTCTGTCCCAGCTGCTCCAGCCATGGCTGAAAGGGGCCAATGTATAGCTCAGGCTGTGGCTTCAGAGGGTGGAAGCCCCAAGCCTTGGCAGCTTCCGTGTGCTGTTGAGCATGTGGGTGCACAGAAGTCAAGAATTGAGGTTTGAGAACCTCTGCCTAGGTTTCAGAAGATGTATGGAAATTCCTGGATGCCCAGGCAAAAGTTTACTGAAGGGGCAGGGCCCTCATGGAGAAACTTTGCTAGGGCAGTGCAGAAGGGAAATGTGGGGTCAGAGCCCTCACACAGGGTCCCTACTGGGGCACCACTTAGTGGAGCTGTGAGAAGAGGGCCACTGCCCTCCAGATCCCAGAATGGTAGATCCACTGACAGCTTGCACTATGCATCTGGAAAAGCCACAGATACTCAACACCAGCCTGTGAAAGCAGTGAGGAGTGAGTCTGTACCCTGTAAAGCCACAGGGGTGGAGCTGCCCAAGACAATGTGAACCCCGCTTTCGCATCAGCATGACCTGGATGTGAGACCTGGAGTCAAAGGAGATCATTTTAAAGGAGCTTTAAGATTTGACTGCCCTGCTGGATTTCAGACTTGCATGGGCCCTGTAACCCCTTTGTTTTGGCCAATTTATCCCATTTGGAACGGCTGTATTTACCTAATACCTGTACCCTAATTGTATCTAGGAAGTAACTAGCTTGCTTTTGATTTTATAGGCTCATAGGCAGAAGGGACTTGCCTTGTTTCAGATGCTACTTTGGACTGTGGACTTTTGGGTTAATGCTGAAATGAGTTAAGACTTTGGGGGACTGTTGGGAAGGCATGATTGGTTTTGAAATGTGAGGACATGAGATTTGGAGGGGTCAAGGGTGGAATGATATGGTTTGGCTGTGTCCCCACCAAAATCTCAACTTGAATTATATCTCCCAGAATTCCCATGTGTTGTGGGAGGAACCCAGGAGGAGGTAATTGAATCACGGGGGCCAGTCTTTCCTGTGCTAGTCTCATGATCTTGAATAAGTCTCACGAGATCTGATGGGTTTTCCAGGGGTTTCCCCTTTTGCTTCTTCCTCATTTTCTCTTGCGGCTGCCATGTAAGAAGAGCCTTTCACCTCCCGCCATGATTCTGAGGCCTCCTCAGCCATGTGGAACTGTAAGTCCAATTAACCTTTTTTTGTTCCCAGTTTCGGGTATGTCTTCATCAGCAGCATGAAAATGAACTAATACATGGGCTGTCCTTACTTATAATAATGAGGCAAAGCAGATGCCCTGTGCAGCATCACAAATGGAATTTGTACATGCCCTGAAATGTGCCACTTGTCTTCAAGTGTGGTGTGAAGACTAGGTAGAAAGTTGTATGATGAACATTCACTATGGAAACTGATCCTGCCACTCAAATCCTCCTAGAATGACTAACAAAGAAACACATTCCAGGACCATAAGTTGTATATTAAATACCTCATCAGTTTATTTTGACAGAATTTATGGCACGATGAACATCCTGATGCCCTATATTCAAAACATCTTTCCAGCTGGGCTGACCTCGATGACTAAACGTTCCCATTTTCTCACTCCTTTTTACTGAAGCAAGATTTCTACTCTATTTGGGGCAAAGGAAAAGGGGTGAGGGATAGTGGTAACATCTTTGTCTGCTCTCTGCCATTAAAGCCATAGCTTAAAGCTGTTTAGGTCACTTTAGGTCCCTTCACCTGGATGGGCTCTGATGCAGAAGAATCAGCGTAGTTCTGGAAGGGCAAGCCCTACTAGGTGGGCTGGGGCAGCATGAAGACAATGGACTCCTGGCCTTGAGCATGGTGGAACGTGGCAATGAAGTGTGATGCCCAGAAAGTCACCAGAACAATTCTTCATTTATTTTCTAGGTTTTTTAGGTTTTTACTCTGCAGCCAGAGTAAACCTTTAAAAGTCCAGCTCCAACTATGCCATTCCTCTGTTTACTTCGGTGGCTTCTGATTGCTCTGAGAATGAAGATGGAGCTGCTCATATGGACTCCTGCTCACCTCTCTGGTCTTATTTCACAGTCCTATTAAATGCTCCTTTAACATATTATACTTTATAGGGCTTATTACAATTTTATTTTGATAATTGTGTAATTAGTTGCTTAATGTTTATTTCCACTAAATTGAAATCTTCATGAGATGGAAGACATTTTTTCCATCTTTCATTGATGCTTTAGTTTCAGAATGTGCTACAGAGCCTTGCTCATAGTGGATACTAAAAAGTTATTTGTTGAATGAAACGAGTAAGAAGACATTTTGGTTAGAAAACATAAGGTGTCTACAACCAAAATGTGGAAAAGGAAAGGAACAAATGGATAAATATTTCAAACTAACAACAATGTATTCTATCTTTGGGGGGGAGAATGTGAGTATTGTCTCATTAAAGCTCTGAATGGAATAAAAAGTTTTCTTTTTAGCTATATTCACACCTAATAACTCCTTCCAATGCACAAAACTTACTAAATTTAGCCTAAGTGGCAAATAGTTATTGTTATTGGTGATAAGAAATGGTGGTTAATTCTCATGCATCCATACATATTTTCTTTGACAAATTTTGATCGTGGGCTAACTTTTTTTTAATGCTAAATAAAATGCAAGATGATTTCTAACTCATCACTTCTAGGCTTGGGTTAGAGAAAACAAACCCAAACACTCTGAGAAAGTTCCAAATCGAAATCTAAAATCATCTGGAATTTTTGGCTGCTTTAGACTATCTACTTGTGGTCTGTATAAGCACATTAATACAATTAATTGAGAACTAGCTGTGTTGATATTATTAGTAATACTCCTTTTATTTAAACCACATTTGACACAGCAATTCTATTCCTAGAGTATATGTCCACAAGAAATGGATACAGATTTCTACAAAAAGACCTATTATGGGAATGTTCATGCTCACCCTATTCCTAATAGCCCCGAAATGGAAATAATTCAAGTGTCCCTCAACAGGAGAATGTCTATAAAGAACCATAAAATTTTATACTAGAACACGACTAATATTTTATATTAGAACATGACTCAGCAATAAAAAGGAATTACTGACACAAGCCACAGCATGTTTGATTCTCATAGATATGTTGAGCAAAAAAATTCATACTCTGTGGTTTCATCTAAATGAAGTTCAGGAACAGGCAAAACGAATCTATAGTTCAAAGCTAAAAATCAGGACAGTTGTTGTCTCTGGAGAGGGGACAATGAAGGACTGACTGGATAAGACCATGAGGAAACATTTTGAGGCTAAGGAAGTGTTCTATATTTTGATTTGGGTGATTGCAAAGTGGGTATATACATTTGTAAAAAATGCATTGAAGGAACACTTAAGATCAGCATACTTAAGATCTGTGAAAGTGTGTGGTCTAAGGTAGACTATGACTCAATAAACAAAAATGTCAAAAATGCAAACCAATAATTGGCATTGTCAAGAAAATACTTTAACAGCATCGGAAATAAAATATGCCTTGTTTTTCCCAGTGTATTTGACATAAAAATTGGAAAAAAATAAAATGGTCATTAATATACATGATCAGATATATAAATTAAATTGTGCCCCTAAGTTATAACAAACCTCATATGTGGTTAACCGACATGTCTACCCGTGAGTGCAATGGTGAAATTCTCAGCTCCACAGGGTAGGAATTTTTTCTTGTTTATATCTGTCTCAAGCATTTAGCTCAGTGCCTGAACTGGCTCTTAGCTTGAGTGAATCTGAAGAAGCCTGACCTTCTCCAGGCCTCAGTTTTTTCACCGATATAATGGAAATAATACCTGACTTTCCTAAGTGCATTGTATAAACAGCATAATAGACTATCTCAGACTGTTTGTACTGCTACAACAAAATACCTGAGATGGAGTAATTCATAAATAATAGACATTTATTTTTCACAGTTCTGGATGCTGGAAAGTCCAAGATGAAGGCTCTGTCAGGGTTGGCATCTGGTGAGGCCCCCCCTCCCTGCTTCTAAGGTGTCAGCTTGAACACTTCATCTTCACATGGCAGAAGGCACAGAAGGGCAAAAATGGCACTAGAGTGCTCCCTTCAGCCTCTTTTATAAGAGGCTTTAAATATTTTCAGTAGGTTGCTTTATGTGCCAGTTTTTCGCTTTTCCCATAAACTGATAAGATAATGATGACAGGACTCTAGGGAGACAAATACAGTCAAACTTTCAAAACTTGGCTCAAGGAATAAATCATCTATAGAGACTTTCTAGTACTCCCCCACTACACACACACACACACACACACACACACACACACACACACAAGCATGCACTTAACCCAAGTTGGCCACATTCTCTTTGGTGCCATAGGGGTGGGAATTTATTTTATTAATCTTTGTATCTTCAGTGTCTAGAACAAATAGTCCTTACACAAAAGGCATTTGATTTTTTTGAATAAATAAGCCTCAATGTATTATAGCAATATTAATATATAGTAATATATAGCAAGAGTGATTTGATTTTCTAGGGAATACAGAATGTGTGTTGCATTTCTGTATGAGTAGGTTTTCTTTATATCCTCTATATATGAATGAGAAAATTGCGTCTGTAGAGATTAAGTTCTTACTTGCTCAAGGTCACTCAGTGGCTGAAATGGGACTTCAATCCCACATTTGTCTGTCTCCTCCCAATAGTCATAACCACTTTGTCATACTGCCAGGTTATTAAAGTCACTTTTCTACCACGTATTATATTTCAGATCTAACCTAATCAAGTCTAGTTGGTGTAAAATAATCCTTCTAAAGATGGAAAGATTCTTCCTTTGATGATTAAGCTTTCATTGCTGGATAGAGTGCCAGGATAGAAATAAAAAAATTATGTTATAGGGTCAGGCAAGTCTCTTTTGAACTTTTTGGGCCAGGGTAAATCACTAGATCTCTCTGAGCCTTTATTTTATTATCTTTAATTAGAGAAAATACTATCTATTCTGTCTTACCTCACAGGACAGAGAGAATCATACAGTGACATGTGAAAGCATTCCATGAAATTTAAAATACCAGAAAAGTGTTTTTTTTAAAAAGTCATGTCAACACAAAAACATGAACCATTGCACTGTTGAATTCAAACATGCATGTATTTGGCCATTTTGAATTTTGGTCATATCTGTGTGTGTGTGTGTGTGTGTGTGTGTGTGTGTGTGTGTGTGTGTATAAGCTATTTTTAAATAAATCTTTAAAATGAAGATAACTTTTTGGTAATTTATGGGATATTTTTAATTGAAGTTTTTCTATTCAAACCAAGATGACCCCATGGATCAGTTTACCAGCCTGCAATGAGAGGCCTCGTGACCATGTGGCCTACTTATTTAAGCAGATGGAATAACACATTTGGTGTTAATTAAACCTTTAAAGGGTCTTCAAAGGGTAGCAATAAATACTACATATTTCCCTTATTTAAAACACTAGCTGATGAAGAGTTCTTTTTTCTTTTTAATGAATATAGGATTCCCATCTGTTATCTTTACAAAAATGCAGCATGTAATGCAAAAGCAAGAAATAGAATTGGAAAAATTGTGTCATTCTCTTTCTTTCACAGTAAACCATTCTTTTCCAGACGAAGCCTTTTTTTTTTTTTTTCTGCCACCATATCTCAGAGCCATGGGAAACTATTGATCAGTCCTTGATAAAGCATAAGTAGGTCTTTTGGTTCCTCCTGTTTTAAAGGCATAGTGATAGATACACCAGGTTGGCTCATTCAGCACCAATCCCAACCCCTGATTAGTCTGGCTCCGTGTACTTGAGAAGCTGGAAAGCTTAGGACTACATTTCAGTCCTCCGTGCAATCCACCTGGGAGAGACAGTGATGTGGAAGTGAGCAATGTGAGGAGAGAGAGGCTCTCCAAGCAGGCAGGTACAGGGGGATTTGCTTCCTTTGTGGCAGCCATGGTGGAGTTTCCAGTATCTAGTCCTAGCGTGTTAGGTTGCGGGTACAGAGAAGGGGGGGTGGCAGCAGCCTTTTAGCAATAAAAATCCTGTGAGGCAACTGAGCATTTTTCATACTTGTTTCCGTAGCTGACTGCATACAAGCTTGTTTTTCTGGCCCTCCCAGAGAAGTCTGTGAACTACCTAACATTCTTTAATCAACTCTAGTTTGCTTATACTAGTGAGAGCTGATTCTGTTGCCTGTAAGAGTACAGGCATGTATAAGGAATGCTACATAGGGTTTTAATAGTGAGGACATACATCTATTAATACACTTAAAAACTGCTAGTTGCCTATCCAACTGGCCTTTTCACTTTTCCTGTTATTAACAGAACCCCATTTTGTAGGGGCTAGGCAATGTCTCCGGTTGAAAAAAATGACATTTCCCAGCTTCTCTTGCAATTAAGCATGACTGCAGACATAATTCTAGCCAAAAGGATGTCAGCTGAGGATACCTGGGTAAGCTTTGCTTCCCTGATATAAGCACCATCTCGTTTATGCCTCTTTTCTGCCTGAAATATAGATGAAGCGGTTGGAGCTTCAGCATTCATCCTGGAATCACCATGGAAAGGCCCAGAGAGTGGCAGAGATCCTGTCCTGACATCCGTGTGCCTCAGTGCCCATGCCAGTAACAAACACCTGCATTACCTCTGGACTTCTTGTTGCATGAGGATAAAAATAGACACTTATGTGCTTTAGGCACCATAGTCAGTTGTTTAACACTGAAATTAGGTCCCTAACGTAACTAATTTCTAACTCAACTAAAAGTAAAGGTAATACAAGTTAGAAAATGTTCCAACAAAGCAGCTATTGTAGTCGTAACCATTTGGGTTTCTATAACAAAAATACCACAGACTGGATGGCTTGAAAAGCAAATATTTCCTGTTCACAGTTCTGGAGGCTGGAAGTTTGAGACCAGGGTGCCAGCATTGTCAGGTTCTTGATGAGGGCTCTCTTCCTGGTTTTTAGATAGATGGCTGACTTCTTGCTTCTCATATGGTGGGGAACAGAGAGAGATGGGAAGCAAGTTTTCTTGTGTCTGTTCCTATAAGTGCACTAATCCCATCACACAGGCTCCACCCTCATGACCTAATTATCTCCTAAAGGCCCCTTTCCCCAAATACCATCACATTGGGGATTGGAGTTTCCATATATGAATTTTTAGGGGGCATAAACACTCAGCCCATAGCAGCAGAAATTTTAATAACGTATACCTTTGGTAACAGGCAGCCTGCCCCTGTCTTATAATAGGAGCCTGGGCTAGATTCCCAAAGAGCCTCTCAGTTCCTTTCCTCACTTGTTGGCGTTCATTGATTCATTCACCTATTTCCTAAAGAAGGTCCCATCTCCTACATCCAGTAAGGTGAAGAAAAGGATCTTGCCCCTTCTCCGGGATTCCACACTCAACTCTCAAAGACCAAAATACAGAAGCCACAGAGAGACACATATCAGCTATCTATAAACGACTATTCTTCCAGAGCTCCCCAAATATCAAACAAGCATAATTGAAGGTAATGAGTTCCCAGTCACTTAAGGTATTCAAGCATAGGCTAAATGACATTTTGGAGGGGACATTTAAAGAGAGGGATCAAATATTAGACCATGGTTAGAAAGACAATTTGTTTTCCAGTTCTACAGTTCTTGGGTTCCATGTCAACACCTCATTCATAAATGTTTTGCAGTTGACTACCAAGAACTGGTTTGTTTCATTGACTCCCCCACTATCTTTGTGATGAACATCTACCTCTCCTATGTCTTGTGTGTTACAGGTGTACTCTTGTTTTAAATTTACAGGGTACAAGGAAAGGCTCTGGGGAGGAAATGAGAGTATGAAGCCAAAGTGAAGCAGACTAGGAAAAAAAAGTGAATAATGAAAAAAGACCAGTGCCTACAGAAGGGAGTTGGGTTCATTAAAGCAAAGGTTGAAAGCGAGTAGATTAAAAAGCTGAATTAGATTCAGTTCCTAGAAACAAAACTTTCTAGAGACTCGAAGGCATGAGGACCAGGTGAACTAGAGCATCTGGCTTAGGATGCTAGAGAAGGACCTAGAGAGAGCAGTTTCAGCCTGACTCGGGGGCAGAATGTGCTAAGCAGAAAGTCTGCTTTCCTTACACCATCAAGGTAGAGATGATTGCTCAAGGACAGAGGAGTATGGTGGGGTAAAAATAAATCACGCATCTAGTGGTGCCAAGCAAGAACCTGTCATATGCTGACCTGTTTGTAGTCTGCTACCCTGGGATTTCTCACCTGTACCAAAGTAGTTTCTTGTACTCTAAATCAGTTGGCTGAGTGCGATGTTCCTGATTACTCATTACAAAGACATGGTTGTGAGGGAGATTAGGGAGCAGTGCTGTGTTCCCAAGCCCCTCTGCCTGGGGAAGTAAGAAGATCAGGGGTTAACACAGGGAGCCTCATGAGTGGACATATCCTGCCTGTTTATCACCTGGCTCTTCTTTACCTGATCAACTCAGCTATCTCCAGCAACAGTTCTTCTGGTCCAGAGATATACCATGTTTCTGCCTGCTCAACCCAGGTGTCTTTTAAGATGAAAAGGTGTCTTGATTTCATTTCATGTTCCTTAGTATCTGGTTCCTAAGTTCTTCATGCTGGTTAATGTTTCAGGTGGTTGTAAAGAGGCAACATTCCTCAGAAATGCTAATGATATTTCCCAACCAACTAAATCACAAATCCTAACTGGATCCTCAGCCTGGTTTGCTTTCAACAAAGCAAATGATTACAAGGAAACAGAAAACAGACTCTGCTTTGACTTAGCTTCCTCTTGTCTGGCTTTGAGCCTTGCAGGGTCTGTTTCTCACCCCCACACAGTTCCCTATCACAGCTCAAGCTGCTGAGGAAGTGACTAGCAGAGGCTCTGTTTGAAGCACCCCTCTCTCTGCATCCTGCCTCCATGGAGAGGCACCCTTCCTTCCATGGCAGATGTTCCCGGAAAATGCTCTCCTAAAGTTTCACATGAGGCATTTCCAGACATGAAAAGCCTCTTTGCTTCCTCCACTGTGCATTCTCTTACCTCCCCACTCTATCAGCATCTAACATCAAGCAGCCCCACAACTCAGAGAAAAGCCACACATCAAACTCACCTTCAGAAAAGTCAGCTTCCACTTCCCGGGAATTTTAAGAATAGTCAGTTGTATTCTACAGGTGGCTGAATTCTTCTGAAAATAACATATAGACTCCCCCCAACTCCCACTCTGCCCTGAGAATGTTGGTATCTGTAGTGGGAAGGTATAAAACAAGAAATTACTTTTTTGATTTGTATTGGCAGCCCAGCTTTCTTTAAGTTGAAAATGTGCTACACATCACAACATTGAGGACTGGTCAGTCTGTCCTTCCTGCAGGAGCTTCTAGGCCTTCTCCAGAGCACTCGGCCTCCCTGCCTCCCTGAAGTGCCACCCTTCCCCAACACATTCCTTTCATCTTCTTAACAAAGAAGTGCTCCCTGCTTCATTCAGATATGACTTCAAGTCCAATTTCACCTTAGAATCCCTCACAGACTAGTAAAAAGTGATATTACTGAACACTTAAGTATGCCAAATTCCATGCATGTCTGCAACTCAGGGCTGTGAAAACACTCCATGTACAATTCATAATGTAAATGTGGATATCATTCATGCCATGTTAGCTGTATTCATTTATACTAGATCTCTAGAAGGTAAGAAGATTTAATTCAATTCACTTTAATAAATATTTGGTGAGGGCTATATGCATAGGAACATCTTTGCATAGAATCATGCAAGAATAATAGCTAGTAAGTGCTTTTTTGATGAGAACCCTGTTTTATACTATGCTGGATGGCCTTTAATTTTTGTTATAGGATGTTTTGAAAAGAGAGGAGAGTATAATCACTATTCTTCAACAACAAATCATGATTTTATTGAAATTTCAAACCATTATATTTCAGAGAACTTCTAGACACCAAACCAAGTGTTTGGTTTTATTTTTTATTGGAACAAAAAAAATGGTGGAAGGAAGCATTACTGTGGAATAAAAAAAATAAACCCTTCTCCTCACCCCCTCCTATTATGAACCTATAATGACTCCTCATTTTTCTTAGAGGTTGTTTATCCACCAAATGCACAAGCAACCTAAGAATCAGGACAGAGCACAAAGCAATCAAAATAATCCAATGGAAATAAGCAATCAACCCTCTTGCCCGTTATCCTAGCAGAGCCTGTGGGAGACTTGCTGAGAGCCTATTTACACAAAGGCAGCCCTGGTTCTAAGGAGCTTGGCTCTAAGCCTTGGTTGTTAGATGATTAAAAATGCAAATTAGAAGAGGCTGGTAGGGAGCAAGCACACTGTCGGTAGCAAGTCCTGACAGCTGACAGTCTGGCTGCAGGAGGGGAAAATGCAAGCACCATAATGACCAGACAGAAGAACTCAAACTGCAGACCGTCTGGACTTCCCCCGAAGAACAGAATCCCTAATAAAGATTACCAGTCCTCTGAGAAGCCTATCCTGGCACCTCCTCACCCATTTTGGCAGTCATTTCTCTTCTGTGTCTCACAGATGCCTATCCCTGCCCTGTTCACAGCTCAGGTCTAGCCTCTCTTGCCCTGGACTTTAGGAATTTGTCTTCAGCATCCTCATCCTAATTGGACTGTAGGCTCCTTAAAGGGAAGGGCATTTATTGTATTCATCTTTGAGTATGTCTGAGTCTGTCACATAAGGGATGCTCATTGTATGTTTATTGAATGGTTATTGATTTAATATATTACAAGAGAAAGAGACGGGAATTTAAATTCGTATTTTCACAGATAGGAAACAGTGCAAAGGAGTTTGAGAAAGTTTCTATTCAAAGCCATTACAACTTTAAAAAGTTTTCTGTTCAACAGGTAAGCTTCAGTTGCCTGAAAAATTAATGTCAGCGTGGAGCACATCATTAGCTGAGGGTTCTGGATAAAGTAGGCATTGCTCTGTAGTACAACAACCCGTGGATGAGAAGAGGAGAGAAACCACAAGAGGAGAGGGAACTAGGTCTTAATGGGAGCCTGGGAATTCTACAGGAGAAGTAGGGTACAGGAGACAATGAATACTGAGGATGAGTATGATCAGTGCTATAATTGTACTGATGGCCAGCTCTTCTTCTCTTTTCCCAGAAAATGAAATGGCATTTTAAAGGATACTTGGGATATTCATTTGAGTTACTTTGAAAGATGGTATCAACTTTATCCATTTGAAAGATTGAACATAAGCAGAATAATACAATGAGACGATAATTCATCAGATAAATTATGAGGCATTTATGCATCAGGGAAGGGTACTTTTACAAAATATACAGAAAGAGGCTTTGACTAGCAAAAAACTCGACTCTAAATAGACTCAGTAATGGAGAACCCAGCAAGATGGGTGGTTTTCTAGGGCTGAGGGCAAGGAGAGACAGAGAGGAGGTGAATAATGAGTGGCTATCATGTGTTACTAAGCGTTGGAGTTTGGCTGGGATTGTGAACTGCAAGTCCAGAGATGGGGCAGAAAGAGAAGACATAGATGAGTTTCTGGATCTGAATTCAGAGGGGAACCATACCCATCTTCCAATATAGAATCAGAGAAGCAGCAAGACCTGAGAATAGAAATACCCTGGTGATGTGCCTGCACAGTCCTCTAGAACCTCCTTCCAAAGCCAGGAGCAGGGGAATAGTTCCTGTATGCTTAGGCATAGCACAAAGTTGATGAGGACTATGAAGGGCCACAAACCTGTTCACAGCCCTGTGCTTCAGAGCCACAGCAGCACGGGCCATGCCCCTGAGAGGGTCACCATAATGAACTCAGAGAAAGCCAGACCCAAGCAGCCTTGGAATGGGTTCCTGAGTGGACACTACTGTAACTTAGATAGGAAAGATCAACCTGAACACCAGTAAAGAGAGAGGACAAACTGTACCAGCTACCACCCCCCAATTCATGCCTCGAACTAAAGATGGCCCCAGAATGAGACAGAACCTCATCCAAGGGAGCTGTTTCAACTTGCAATGCAATAGGAACTTAGCTTATGGACTAAATTTCATTCCTACGAAAACACTCACCTTTTGCCACATCATCATTGACCCTAACCTAAAGCACATCATCAGGAATGCCCTCTGAGGCTAGGAGCCAAAGGCCTCTTGCTTTAAGAGGATGGAAACTGCACACTATTGACCTGTTTTGAATTCCAAAAACAATCTGAACCCAAGGTTGAAAGGTCACCTCTGTGACGGTTAAGTTGTTTGTAACGAAGTGAATTGAAATGTGTTAAAGGTGATACTGGGCAAAGCATCCAGAGCTTCAGAGCTGTTTGCCTTCCAAGAGAGCGCTGGCCCTCCTCCTCCACAAAGTTCCTGTGGTTTGTGCTTGGAAGACTCCTCCTCTGATAGACCCGTGACAGCCCACAGCAGGATAAAAGGTCAGTTAAACCTGTGACAACCCCTCCGTGAAAGCACACAGAAGAGCATGCCCCACACTTGTGTTCTTCCAATTTCCATAGTCATGAATTTTATTCTGCTGTTCAGACAGACGCCTGGGAATGTAATAAGGAGAATTTAAATCAGCTAAAAGCTTCTGTTTCAGCTGTTTTCTTTTCTTTTACAAATTTGGTTTCCACTGATGTTCATTCCCATCTCATACCCTTGATAGACTATAGTTAGGCTCCATATCTTATTGTTTTTAGAGGCATGAATTAGATTTTACATGCAAAATAAAACCTGTGAAATTTATTTTCCTCCTGAGTGAAAGAACTCACCTGGCACCTGGAGCAATTTTGCAAACTGTGCCAGAAACAAGAATCAGGTTTCACCAGTGAAAACACATTTTTGCAGCCTAGAAAACTGTACTGCAAATAACATTCTAGAGGTCAGTTGGAATGTAATTTCTTGCCTTCATAAGACAATGTGAAATGAAAACAAACCAGGCAAAATTACCATACCATCATCCATACTGTCAATTTGGAAGCCTTTTTACTAGACAAAAGTATGTGTGAAGAAAATGAAATAAGTGAAAACAGCACTGATCAGAAGGAAGATCAGTGTTTTGTTTAACACTGTATTAGCCAGCACAGGCTGCCATAACAAAATACTGTAGACTGGGTGACTTAAACAACAGAAATTTTCTCACAGTTCCGGAGGCTGGAAGTCTGAGATCAGAGTGCCAGCATGGTTGTTTTCTGGTGAGGGCCCTCATTTTGGTTTGCAGACAGCTGCTTTCTTGCTGTGTGCTCACATGGCTGGGGGAGATCTCTTTCTCTCTCTCTTTCTCTTCCTATAAGGCCACCAATCCTATAGGTTTAGGGCCCCACCCTTATGACCTTTTAACTTTAATTACCTCCTAAAGACCCTATCTCCATATACAATCACATTGGGGGTTAGGGCTCCAACACATGAATTTTGCAGGAGAACACAATTCAGCTCATAGGAAACACCTGTGAGCAATCTTCTACAGTTACTCAGCAGATATATCCCCTTAGTGTAAGAATTCTGCATTGTGAATATATAGTACTTAAGTATTCTTATTGGCTTTAAAACTTTCAACATATGCTAGATAAATAGGAACTTAGTAAAGGGTAACTTGGACCTGCATTCTGGAAGCAAACATTCTCTTATTTGGTTAATAACAAGGATAGGTCAAAGTTAGTTGGGTCTAATAAATGTGTAACACTTCTTGTCATATCAAGGATTCTCCCTTAAACACAAAGGTTTCTCCTAATATAAACTACTTATGAATCAGCCAGAGCCATTGTCTAACAGTTCCACAGGCGAGAAAACCTAAATCCTTTATGCGCTTCATTAAGATACCCTCCTACAAACGTAATTCTCCCAACATCACATTGTCCTGCAGTCTTTCTCTTTACTGTGTCATATAAATTCTGTGTGCTATTTAAGAAATCCAGACTAGGTGTGGTGGCTCAGGCCTGTGGTCCCAGCACTTTGGGAGGCCAAGACAGGAGGATCACTTGAGCCCAGGAGTTTGAGACCAGACTAGCCCTGGCAACATGACAAGACCTCATCTATATGCTCCCCCCCGCCACCCCCAGCCCAGCCAAAAAAAAAAAATAAGAAAGAAAGAAAGAAAGGAAAAGAAATCCACAGATCAAAAATTAAGATCTCTATTTAGGTAGGACCACACTTCCCATCACCCAGGTACTTGTCTCCAAGAGCATGCCTAAATGTGTCCTATACCACAATAATTATCATATTCCAAAGTCTTGTCTTTTCCACAAGCCCTACCTCATTCATCACCTAAACACAAAATGCTCATTCCTTCATTCCTTCTTTCAATTTCTATAGCACTTATATTGCCTGTTTGTAAAATCCACTTGGAAATTAACTGTTTACTGTGGCCTTTCTCAACCTCAAACCTATTCTCAGGTACCATTAGTTCTCTATGAGAATTTGTAGGTGACTATCTGCATGTTTCATTTCCATGATAATCTAAAAAATATTATAAGCATGCTCTGGATCACTTGATGAATACCTTATGACTGAGAACTGCCTAATATTTTCACTGTCCATTTGTGCGTATGACTGTTTTGGTCCTGATTAGTACCACTTTAATTGTAACAAGCTAATTAAGAAAAGAACATAGGCAGACAATATGCAAATGATGCTCTTGCATTAAGTGAAAGCTAAATGAGAGTAAGGTATTCTACATGCTAGAAAGAAATGACCATTCACCATTCAAAAAGAAAAAGCACTTGGAGAATGATGTCATTACTCAGCACACAGTTGTACGAGCATGTCAAACTCAAAAGAACTGGTGCCATGGAGTCAACACTGCATTCATCCTGAAAGGGGCAATTTAGCCTTAGTAAAACAGTATTACCACATTACACTGATCATTGTTAACTGGAATATGTGGTTTGTTATATAACAAAATATAAATATTTTGTTATATTTAATTTATAAATATGTTTTGGCTTCATAGCTATTAAGAACTATAAGCATATGGAGTATACCTTGTTTATGGCTATACATATTTAAGTTTAAATTATGATATAAGTAATTTAACTCTGGAATTCCACAGATTTAAAAAAAAATATTGTGACATTTCTTTGATTGCGGGCCTTAAATGGTTGTTTCAGTCTTTTACTATTTAACTATTTCCATCTGTTATTGTCTTGTTGCTCCAAATGAAATCTTTCTGCAGGACAGAAATGAGCCTTTGGGCCATTTGCATCCTCTTAGCACTTTGTGCAATGTTGTGGACATAACAAATGCCCAGTGACATTTGTGGATTTGAGCTCTTTCCATTCTGGACTTAACTTCCCATTCCAGAATATTTTCTATTTGTTTTTTTTTTTGTTTGTTTGTTTTTAAATCCACTTCCGAGTAAACTGTTTTTATCTATTCAGTCAAATGTTTCCGTCTGCCAGGATTCCAGGTAAATAATTGTTTGGCTTTATTGCATATACTCTGTGTGCCAAGAACTGCTCTGAGCATTTTATATAGATCATCTCAGTTCATCATTATAACCATAAGAAGGTAGGTGGGTGTGTAAGGCCATTCTTGCATTGCTATAAAGAAATGCCTGAGACTAGGTAATTTACAAAGAAAAGAGGTTTCCACAGTCTGTACAGGAAGCATGGCGTTGGCATCAGCTTAGCTTCTTGAGAGGCCTTAGGGAGCTTTTACTCATGATGGAAGGTGAAGCGGGAGCACACACATCACATGACAAGAGTGGAAGCAAGAGAGAGAGCAGGGAGGTGCCACACACTCTTAAACAACCAGAACTATCATGAGGACAGCATCAAGCCATGAGGACAGCATCAAGCCATGAGGTGTCCACCCCCATGACCCAGATACCTCCCACCAGGCCCCACCTCCAACACTGGGGACCACATTTCAACATGAGATGTGGGTGGGACAAATACCGAAACCATTATCAGTGGGATGATAAACAGACTGTTTCTACTTATTAATGAAGAAACTAAGCCATACAGAGCTCAAATACTTTGCCCAAAAATCATACAGCTAGTAACTGGTGAAAGTAGGATACCAACCAAGGCATACTAAGGTCATTGTCCATCCTTGTTCTGTCTGCAACTCAAATTTGCAAAAGGAGTGTAAAAGTCACTTCTCTATCACTGCGCCGATGCCTCCTTATTAGGAGAGGCTTCATCAGAAGAGTGCAGAGTGGATAGGGAAAATGTCCACATTCATACTTTAGGGAGGTATATAGCTACTACATCATTTATTAAACACCTACTATGATATCTATTGTAAATGTACAAACAACAAAATATGTTATACACACTTCAGATTTCTTGACACATTGTTGAAAGGAAAATATTTTTATGTTTATTTGGCCTTTTACTCATATTTTTATCTTGCCTTTTATTGTGCTTGAAATACTGTGCTTGGCATCTATATAGCATTTCAATATCTGTTGAATGAATGAAATCCCCTTCTCTTTCAAGCTTTGCAATAGTCAACTGCCGCATAGTTTAGGTTTATTGTCTGTGAGCAAAACTCACTTTATTTTCATTGTCAGTTCATTTTTTTTTACCATTTACAAAACCCACTAATTCTCAGACCATGTCTGAATGCCTGATAAAATGGGATGTGGCAAAGATGAGTTGATATTCTTATGATCTTAATGATGTAATCTATTTGGACACAATGGTTACTGGAATGATGACAAATGCGTTGACTGCAAAAGAGCAATTCAGTTGTGGTCAATAGACAGTATTCGAAGCACATCTTTTTATGGTATTATTTTTTTCTGCTCTTTTGTCTTAGCTGCCAGAAGAGTGGAAAATCTTCTGACAGGGTCTCTCCTTGCAGCGAGTTTGCGTCAGTATATACACTTCGTTAATATAACAAATCTAGTTTCCTTGGTTATTGGATCAAGATTTGATTTCCCAGGAGACCCTCCTTGTCTCTGCCCCTGATGATGAGATTTGCTCCCTGGTAATTCTGCAGCTAGTGTGTCACCTCACAGTGTCATCAGTCTCACCTCAGACTAAACATGAGGCTGACCCCAGGGTCATTATCAGACTGTTCTGTGTGTGAGTATGTGAATTGTGGTCTGTCCTGGATAGTTCTGAAGACTCACTCATGCATTCATTCATTCATTCACCCATTCCCTTGACACACATTTATTGAATACTTTGTGACAGGAGCTAGGAAGTGGGGATAGAGGAAATGATTTGGGGAGGGGGACACACCTGCTCACAAGGCACTGCCACTTCAGACAGACATGCAGTAACTGTTATGCGGTAAGGTAAGCACTGTATCTTCATAGGTGCTCAGACTCTATCAGGAAGAGGTGGTAGGAGTGAGGTGGTGCACATAGAGTGTAGCACTACTTTGGGTTGTCGTACCATCTTCTTGAGGCCTGTTTAGAACAGCACCCAGAGTGATGAGTATAAATACCCCATGTGTGAGACCATCTTTGGAAAGCATGAAGTCTCACCAAGAGATGAAGTGAGAAGCTGATATGCTGGCAGCCAGCATAATGGCTGTTTGAGGCCTTGTGTTGCTGTTCTTTTTTAATGTGTATAAGTTCACGTGAATTTTCATTCTAGCATAATATAGCATATTTTATTTTAATATAAAAATGTGTTAAATTACTTAGCCTCCTTCCCCCACCCATTTTGCAACCCTCAAGTTCCTCAAGTAAAAAGTATACTCTAGGAAAAAAATGACAAGCTCTTCCTGGGACTTTTCATACTCTCTGGCACAGCGGTGAGTACTCCTATTCTGAGCTAGGAGGAAAAAAGAAAAACTGTAAGAAAAAGAAGCAGAGTAACAGAACATTTCACTCAGTATGACAAAAGTATGATAAGCCTCAAATATCCTTGGCTAAGCTAATTGACAAAACTGTAAAATTCTATTAAAATTCATGGGTCATAATTATTTTGGCAAAAATAATTGAGAGAAAGTTTAAAAAGGTGTTGATAAAAGTAATTTTGAAAATGCAAAGCATTGGTTTAACAAATACATTTTGTTTAGAAAGATAAGAGAGAAGATTTGAGAATATTTACATATCAGTTATAAAATGTATCTTAAGTTTACACTTATTCTAGATCTTTTCATTATAAAATTAGGTTTTGATTTAAGTCTATTTTCTTTCTTCTTACAATGAATGGTTTTTGTAGGTGGTTCCAAGTTCTGCTAACTTATAATCTTGGGACTATCCATGTTTATCATAGGAATCTGAAGAAAATATTTGTTGTAGAAAAAAAAAAGTTTACTTAAATGTTTAAACCATTTGCCCTGGGATGTTGATCTTATTCACCAACCTTGGGATGCTAAATTCACTGACTCAGACCTCCCTTATCTGATTCTAATAAACTAAATTAGTATAAGAAAAATTGAACAGTCTCTCTTAGAATTAGAAATGTAGCTAAAGGCATTTCTGTTCATAAAAAGCTACTTTTGCAAAGACAAAAAGTGATTTGTGTAGATTAACTTTCAAACACAATGCAAAATCTTAGTTTTCTTCTAAGTTCCCCAACTGGAACTCAACAAAAATCATTTGCTATCTGCCACCTGCCCCTCTCTCTCCCTGCTGCACATTCCTATTGTGGCTCTGGCAAGCTGCTGCTGTTCCTCCGCTTTCCTTCCCTAGCCTGTTAATGCGTCAGCACTCACCCAGTTACCCTAACTAAGATCTTTTTTGATTTCTCTTTTCTTCCCTCTCTACTCACCTATCTTTCACCACCAATTAACTGCAAGCCACATCCAATAAATGACAATTGGTGGCCATGTGCTGCTCAGTGTGGGGGATTCTGTCAGTCCTCACTTCCTGACCTCCTATTCTTGGCCTTCCCATGCCTCCACTTCATGTTCTGGAACTCAGTAACCTAGATTCAGTTGCCAGCTTGGTGACTAACTTAGAAATCCCACAGGATGTTACTATTCAAAACCTGTCCTCTCCCTGCACCACCCCCAAACCCCAGTCCCAAACCAGGCTGTAGGTTGGTGTGCTCCAGTCTCTACCCACTGTGTTTGTCCACTCAGAGAGGGAGATCAGGGACACATCTCCCAGCTGGCAGCCACTCTCCATTCCAACCCACACCCCACCCTGCCACCAGAAGCACCATTCTACTTTACTACTCAAAGCAGACATTGAATCTCTGCTGTCCAACACATAATAAGGTCTGCAACATCATGTAGCAGTGTACATAAGTCCCACTGCAATCTGACTCAGACCACCATGTCCCCTGCATTCGTATCATGTTAGATTATCTCAAACATTGTTTTATTTAACATTGATGAGTTGCTACTATATAGCCAGGCATTGGGCTAGGGATTCCACAATGAGTAATTTTGATACTCCTAGAAAAATAATACCTAGAGGGGGTACCAAGAAGCAAATGATTAAAACACAGAATGATGATAGCTATGAGTGATGGTCAAGAGACAACCTAGGAGTGTATCTAATCCTGCTTGGAAGCCTCAAGTAGCAGTAGATTTTCAGAAGACATTTGGGAAAGGCAAGAGCTGAAAGATGCCAAAAAGTTAGACTAGCTTCTCTCCTTTGAAAGATCTCCCTTTCAAAGAGAATTCTTATTTGGCCTTCAGGGCTACTCTCGGGCTTCCCGCTAACCTTCCCAGGCACAGTCAAATGTTCTCTCACCTGCAGCCCACCTGAAGCACATCTTCCATATCCATATTACTGCTCTTATCTCATTGCATCACAGCGATTGGGAAAGACAACTGGCCTTGCCCTCACCTGGGAACTCCATCAGGGCAGAGAAGGTGTCCTTATCCATCTCTGTGCCCAACTTACCAGATACATAATATATGTTCAATCAAGTTTGATGAATAATTCAGTTTAACAAAGAATGATTGTAAACCAGCTTTAACATTTGAAAGTCTATATTAAAATAAGTAAGACATCCGTAGGGACATAACACCTCCAAGAGTATTTTTTATTGTACAAAAAGTCTTTTATACTTTAGAAAACAATACACTGAAAAAAAATTAAAAAAGAACAATTCCCTATAGAACTAAGCAAGGTCTCAGAAATGCTTTCTTATGTTTGAACACATTTTATAGCACGTGGCTGATTTAAGCGATGTTTATAGTCGCTGCTAAATTGTGGGCTGTTAGACACTTTATCATTCACATACTTCATTTGTGGGTGGGGACAGTGCAGACAGCTTAGAGGAAGGACTTTAAAGTCCCTGGCCAGGGACTCACCCACCAGCTTCTGGGCCCCTGGAATTGCACTCATCTTCCACCATGACCAATGTGGCCACAGTGTATAGTTTTGCACAAGGCAAGAAAGACAATACACTTCCAGGATAATTAAACTAATAACAATTACACCAAAAACTTAATATCCATTTTGTCATCTGAAAAGGTCACTCCCAATTAAATTGCTGGCAGAATTTTCTACAATTTCCGACTTCACGGGCTATTTTGGTCACTAGTAAGCTCAGGGTAACTGAAAATATATACCCATATACCTCACCACCACATGTTGTTTTAGAATTTCTTCTAAAATATTTAGAAGACATTTCCTGTAGAGACTGGCAGGCAATTGTTTGTTTTGCTTTTCCATCTGGTATTCAATTAATATACTAATAGCCACTCTAATTTACCCTGCTATAATACCGATCTTATTTTTTCAAGTGGCATGTTTATTTTCACTTGGGGACTGAAAAATACTGCAGATTGGAAGCAACGGTTCATTTGCAGCTGCCACATCTAAAGCAACTCCAGTGCTGTTAATGTTCTGTAATGGGGGCATCTAAGTTTCTCCACTTGCTTGGCATTCTCTTGGATGTTAATGTTCATTAACTTTGTATTATTAATTTAATGTTTATAAACATTGTTAATAAATACAAAAGACGTTGCAAAGCACAAATGGAACACTAAAAGTTAGTGAGATAAATTAGACAACTTTTGTAGACACATGTATGTTGTGGGGTGTGTTTTTACCTTTTCCCACTTTTCATCTTCGCTATTAACCAGCTCTGTTGGTAGTGATGAAAGTCACTGAAATTTGCTCTGAAGTCACAGGGGCATTTTGTAGGTGTGAAGCTGGGATTTAGGGAAAACTGAGTGAGAGGATCAGAATATTCAGAGAAAAGTCATTAAAATGGCAGGTGAGTGAGCTGGAAATATCCTCATTGCATAGATAGAAAGCCTGTTAGTCGAGACTACCTAACAGAAAAGATAATAAAGGTGAGAAACTGCTATATGGCTGAAAGTGATGACTATAAGTTATACTTTTCTATCTCCTATAGCCTTTTTCAGTGCTGGGCAATTAGTAGGCTCAATCTTTGAAGACTGACAGATGTTAGCTTGATTCATGGTTCACAAGATGCCAGCTTTGTGGGTTCATTCCTCCTTTAAGTTGGTCTGTGACATATATCCCAAAATTCTCACATGGGTAGCCCAACCCAGATCTGCACCATTGTCACAATAGACTCTGAAGTTCATCAACACTAGTGAATGTTTTCCTAGAAAGTAGGCTCTGCTGAGAGTAGGTCAGAGATATTGCTCCTTTCTTGTAGTTACCACTCATTACCCCATCAAAATCTCTAAATAATTGTTGGTGCTCTCTCTCTTTTTATCTGAATAGAAAAATGCCTTTAAGATAAAACCCCCAGGATCATGGCAGGCAAGAGGCAGGACTAGATTGCAGCTCCCATGCAGGCAGATACAGCAGTGTGTGGAGACTCGCATCTCAAACTTTTGCTCCAGAATTACTGCAGGAATAAACCAGGAAAGCCAAGAGAACCCCAGACCCTCTGAAGGAAGCGGATTGCTCTTGCAGGAACTGGAAGACATCCCAAATACTCAGCTGCAGCGAGACCTGCCCAAAGAGAGTCTGAACTAAGACACACCTTGCCCTGCCCCACCTGATGGTCCTTCCCTACCCACCATGGTAGCTGAAGACAAAGGGCATATTCTCTTGGGAGCTCTAGGGCCCTGCCCACCGCTGGTTCCTCCCTATACTACCACAGCTGATGCTCTCTTCAAAGTGCCATCTCCTGGCAGGAGGCCAACCAGCACAAAAATAGTGTATTAAAAAACCAAAACTAAGAACCCTCACAGAGTCCATTTCACTCCCCTTCCACATCTACTGGAGCAGATGCTAGGATCCATGGCTGCGAGACCTGCAGATGGTTCTGATCATAGGACTCTGTGCAGACAACCCTCAGTACAACTCCAGAGCCTGGTAGACCTGCTGGGTGGCTAGATCCAGAAGCTCTCAGGAAACCATGTCTCTAGGAAAACGGGGAGAGTACTACACCAAGAGAACACCCCGTGGGACAAAAGAATCTGAACAGCAACCTTGAGCTCTAGACTTTCACTCTGACATAGGCTACCCAAATGAGAAAGAATCAGAAAAACAATTCTGGTAATATGATAAAACAAGGCTCTTTGACACCCCTGAAAATCACATTAGCTCACCGGCGATAGGCCAAACCAAGAGGAAATCCCTGATTTACCTGAAAAATAATTCAGAAGGTCAGTTATTAAGCTAAACAAGGAGGTGCCAGAGAAAGGTGAAGTCCAATTTAAGGAAATCAAAAACATGATACAAGAAATGAGGGGAGAAATCTTCAGTGAAATAGATAGCATAAATAAACAATCAACACTTCAGAAAATAATGGATGCACTTAGAGAAATGCAAAATGCTCTGGAAAGTCTCAGCAATAGAACTGAACAAGGATAGAAAGAACTTCAGAGCTCAAAGACAAGGTTTTGAATTAACCCAATCCAACAAAGACAAAGAAAAAAGAGTAAGAAAAAGTGAACAAAGCCTCGAAGAAGTTTGGGATTACGTTAAATGACCAAACTAAGAATAATTGGTGTTCCTGAGAAATAAGAGAAATCTAAAAGTTTGGAAATCATATTTGGGGGAATAATTGAGGAAAACTTCCCTGGCCTTGCTAGAGACCTAGACATCCAAATACAAGAAGCTCAAAGAATGCTTGGGAAATTCATTGCAAAAAGATCATCGCATAGGCCCATTGTCATCAAGTTATCTAAAGTTAAGACCATCTTAAGAACTGTGAGGCAAAAGTGCCAGGTAACCTATAAAGGAAAACCTATCAGATTAACAGCAGATTTCTCAGCAGAAACCCTACAAGCTAGAAGGGATTGGGCCCTATCTTCAGCTTCCTTAAACAAAGCAATTATCAGCCAGGAATTTTGTATCCAGCAAAACTAACCTTCATACATGAAGAAAAGAGTTTTTTTCAGACAAACAAATGCTACGAGAAGTAACAAGTACCAAGCCAGCACTACAAGAACTGCTAAAAGGAGCTCTAAATCTTGGACCAAATCCTAGGAACACATCAAAACAGAACCTCTTTAAAGCATAAATCTCACAGGACCTGTAAAACAAAAATACAATAAAAAAAAACCAAGGTATACAGGCAACAAATAGCACGATGGATGGAATAGTACCTCATATCTCAATACTAGCATTGAATGTAAATGGCCGACATGCTGCACTTAAAAGGTGTAGAATAGATAAGAATTCACCAATGAACTATCTGCTGTCATCAAGAAACTCATCTAACACATAAGGACTCACATGAATTTAACTTAAAGGGGTGGAAAAAGACATTCCATGCAAATGGACACCAAAAGCCAGTAGGAGTAGCTATTATTATATCAGACAAAACAAACTTTAAAGCAACAGCAGTTAAAAGAGACAAAGAGGGACATTATATAATGATAAAGGGCCTTGATCAAAAGGAAAATATGACAATCCTAACTATATATGCACCTGACACCAGAGCTCCCAAATTTATAAAACAATTACTGCTAGACCTAAGAAATGAGATAGACAGCAACATAATAAGAGTGGGAAACTTCAATATTCCAATGACAGCCCTAGACAGGTCACCAAGGCAGAAAGTCAACAAAGAAACAAAAATTTAAACTATACCCTGGAACAAATTGATTTAACAGATATTTACAGAACATTCTACCCAATAACTGCAGAATATACATTCTATTCATCAGCTCATGGAACTTTCTCCAAGATAGACCATATGATAGGCCACAAAACAAGTCTCAATAAATTTAAGAAAATTGAAATTATATCATGTACTCTCTCAGACCACAGTGGAATAAAACTGGAAATCAACTCCAAAAGGAACCTTCAAAACCATGCAAATATGTGGAAATTAAATAACTTGCTCTTGAATGGTCATTGGATCAACAATGAAATCAAGATGGAAATTAAAACATTCTTCGAAATGAACGACAACAGTTCAACCTATCAAACCTATCAAAACCTCTGGGATACAGAAAAGATGGTGCTAAGAGGAAACTCATAGCCCTAAATGCCTCCATCAAAAAGTCTGAAAGAGCACAAATAGACAATCTAAGTTCATGCCTCAAGGAACTAGAGAAACAAGAACATATCAAACCCAAACCCAGCAGAAGAAAGGAAATAACCAAGATCAGAGCAGAATTAAATGGAACTGAAATAAAAAAATACAAAAGATAAATGAAACAAAAAGCTGGTTCTTTGAAAAGATAAATAACATTGATAGACCATTAGCAAGATTAACCAAGAAAAAAAGAGAGAAAATCCAAATAAACTCAATTAGAAATGAAATGGGAGATACTACAACTGACACCACAGAAATACAAAAACTCATTCAAGGCTACTATGAACACCTTTAAGTGCATAAACTAAAAAATCTAGAGGAGATGGATAAATTCCTGGAAAGATTTAATCCTCCTACCGTAAAGCAGGAAGAATTAGATATCCTAAACGAACCAATAACAAGCAGCAAGTTTGAAATGGTAATTTAAAAATTGCCAACAACAACAAAAACGTCCTGGACCAGATGAGTTCACAGCTGAAATCTACCACACATTCAAAAAAGAATTGGTAGCAATCCTATTGACACTATTCCACAAGATAGAGAAAGAGGGAATCCTCCCTAAATAATTATATGAAACCAGTATCACCATAATCCCAAAACCAGGAAAGGACATAGCCAAAAAAGAATACTACACACCAATATCCCTGATGAACATAGATACAAAAATCCTTAACAAAGTACTAGCTTACCAAACCCAACAACATATTAAAAATATAATCCACCATGATCAAGTCAGTTTCATACCAGGGATGCAGGGATGGTTTAAGATATGCAAGTCAATAAATGTGATATACCATATAAACAGAATTAAGAACAAAAATCACATGATCATCTTAATAGATGCAGAAAAAGCATTTGACAAAATCCAGCATTTCTTTATGATTAAAACCCTCAGCAAAATTGGCATACAAGAGATATAACTCAATGTAATAAAAGCCATCTATGACAAACCCACAGACAACATAATACTGAATGGGAAAAGTTGAAAGCATTCCCTCTGAGACAAGACAAGGATGCACACTCTCACCACTTCTATTCAACATGGTACTGGAAGTCCTAGCCAGAGCGATCAGACAAGAGAAAGAAATAAAGGGCATCCAAATCAGTAAAGAGGATATCGAACTGTTTTGTTTGCTTATTATATGACTGTATACCTAGAAAACCCTAAAAACTCCTCCAAAAAGCTCCTAGAACCCATAAATGAATTCAGCAAAATTTCAGTATACAAAATTAATGTACACAAATCAGTAGCTTTGCTATACACCAACAATGACTAAGCTGAGAATCAAACCAAGAACTCAATCCATTTTACAATAGCTGCAAAAATAAAATAAAATCCTTGGGAATATACCTGACCAAGGAAGTAGAAGATTTCTACAAGGAAACCTACAAAATACTGCTGAAAGAAATCATAGATGACACAAAAAATGGAAACATATCTCATGCAATATTGTGAAAACGAGCAAACTGCCAAAAGCAATCTACAAATTCAATGCAATTCCCATGAAAATACCACCATCGTTCTTCACAGAACTAGAAAAAAAATCCTAAAATTTATATGGACCCAAAAAGAGAGCCTGCATAGCCATAGCAAGACTAAACAAAATGAACAAATCTGGAGGCATCACATTATCTGATTTCAAACTATACTATAAGGCCATAGTCACCAAAACAGCATGGTACTGGTATAAAAACAGGCACATAGGAAAATGGAACAGAATAGAGAACCCAGAAATAAACCCGAATACTTAAAGCCAACGGATCTTTGACAAGGCAAACAAAAACAAAATGGGGGAAAAGACGCCATACTCAACAAATGGTGCTGAGACAATTGGCAAACCACATGTAGGAGAATGAAACTGGATCCTCATCTCTCATCTTATACAAAAATCAACTCAAGATAGATGAAGGACTTAAATCTAAGACCCAAAACTATAAAAATTCTAGAAGATAACATTGGAAAAACCTTTCTAAACATTGGCTTAGGCAAGGATTTCATGAACAAGAACCCAAAAGCAAATTCAATAAAAACAAAGGTAAATACCTGGGACTTAATTAAACTAAAGAGATTTTGCATGGCAAAAGGAACTGTCAGCAGAGTAAACAGACAACCCATGGAGTGGGAGAGAATCTTCACAATCTATACATCTGACAAAGGACTATATCCGGAATCTACAATGAACTCAAACAAATTAGCAAGAAAACAAACTATCCCATTAAAAAGTGAGCTAAGGACATGAATGGGCAATTCTGAAAAGAAGATATACAAATGGCCAACAAACATGAAAAAATGCTCAACATCACTAATGACCATGGAAATGCAAAATCAAAACCACCATGTGATACCACCTTACTCCTGCAGGAATGGCCATAATCAAAAAAATCAAAAAATAATAGATGTTGACATGGGTGCAGTGAAAAGGGAACACTTCTATGCTGGCAGGAATGTAAACTAGCACAACCATTATGGAAAAGAGTGTGGAGATTTAAAGAGCTAAAAGTAGAACTACCATTTGATCCAGCAATCCCACTACTGGTTATCTACCCAGAGAAAAAGAAGTCATTATACAAAAAAGCTACTTGAACATGCATGTTTATAGCAGCACAATTCACAATTGCAAAAATGTGGAACCAATCCAAATGTCCATCAGTCAACAGGTGGATAAAGAAGCTGTGCTATATATATAGAACAGAATACTACTCAGCCATAAAAAGGAATGAATTAATGGCATTCATAGCAACCTGGATGAGATTGCAGACTATTACTCTAAGTGAAGTAACTCAGGAATGGAAAGCCAAACATCGTATGTTCTCACTCATAGTAGGAATTAAACTATGAGGATGTAAGGGCATAAGAATGACACAGTGGACTTTGGGGACTCAGGGGGAAAGGGTAAAAAGGGGGTGAGGTATAAAAGACTACAAATTGAGTTCAGTGTGTGCTGCTCAGGTGAGAGGTGCACCAAAATCTCACAAATCACCACTAAAGAGATTACTCATGTAACCAAATACCACCTGTTCCCCAAAAAAACTTACGAAAAAAATATGTATGTATGTGTGTATATATATATGCATGCCTTTGAACCAAGACCAAGTCCTTAAATTTTCTCCTCCATAATCCCTAAATGCTGAGGATGAAATGCTGAAAAAGACCTGGACTCCACTCTCCAGGAGTTTTACACACTGCTGGAGGAGGTTGGGTACCTAGGTGGCCAAAGCACAGGTACTCAATGAATGCCTGCAGAATTGAAGTAGCTAAAGGAGACTCCCATTTTCTACCTTCCGATATCACAATTATTTTCTTTATTGATATGCTTGGTCTTGAGAGTGTGTTTGAGTCATGCCTCAGAATGCCTTGAGTTTTCATTAAACTTCATGACATTTTGTTTTCTATTTTTTAAATGCAAGGGTACATTTGCTTCTCAAGCACAATAAAAAGTCATTTAAAGACAAATCTCATAAATAAAATGGCTGATAAGTCTGGAGGATAGTAGTGTAAGACTATAATAAAATATGGCTATGAAGCAATGAGGTCACTCTCTTACTCACGAACTAATCTGGAATGATGTAATAATAATAGGAACTAACAATTTGAGCACTTAATCAGTTCAAGTGCTTTGTGTGCATTATTTCACTTAATCTTCATAATTCATACATCATTTATACCAAATTATTTATGTAACATTCGTGTTTCCATTTCACAAATGGGAATAGAGATGCTAAGAGGCCCAAGTGTCATAAAGGAAGGACAGGGATTTGAAGCCAGGTATACCTGGCACCAGACCGGTGCTCAGTCTAAGCCACCAACTTGTCTTCCACAAAATAAGATCCAGAGATGTTTTGAGTAAGTGGAACATAATCTCAAGGCATTTTGAAGAATAACTCAAGCTCTTCAAATCTGGATATACTGGCTGTGGTATCTTGGGTAAAACTTAGTCTAAAAAATGTAATGAATCAGTGCATACATGGCAGCAAGAGGTCAAGGTGATAATCTGTAACTATAAATTTGGAATGTGCACTTAGTAAATAAGTGTGGAAGTCTTAATGCATCGTCTTAGAGACATTGAGGAAAGCAGCTTTACTCATTATATTAAACAAACTTACATTAAGAATACAATAAAGGGTAGAGAGAAAAGAACAGAGCTCTGCAAGTGAAATATGCTCAGTATCAAGGTTTGAGAATTAATCTGTCATATTTTTCAATTTTCTTCTGTTTTTCATAGAAGCTGATAGGGTAAAGCAGAAGTCAATGTCCAGAAATGTTGAACTTTTGTTTTGTTTTTGTTCGCATTTGTTCTATGATTATCCTGAAGATTGCAGGAGCTTTTAAGTTCATTCACTGTCAACAGTCTGTTGTAGACCACTTATATCATGCCTATTTTTGAAATAATCAAATCTGAGGACCAATGTAAAGTTAGTAAAAGCAACATAAAAAATCAACTAAGCTACACAGATTTTGGAATATAGATGGGATAAGGCAAATGTTAAGTTGCTTCACACTTTCAAAAATAAACACAACATGTAACTCTTTGGAAGATACCTGTTAGTATAAGCTTTGAAAAAACTCCAGGGATGATTAAAATGTGGCACATGCACAACAGAGAGAGATGGAGAGAGAGGGAGGGAGGGAGGGAGACAACGAGAGCGAAAGCGAGAGAGAGAGAGAGACTATCAATATCCATGTGTACAGGATTATTTTTTGAATATAGATTTTTTATCTACAGTTACACATTTAAAGAATATTCACTAAATAATGGATTCAGGTGTTTTAAACATATTTTTAAATGAACAGATTAGTAATGGAACAAATATTCATATACTGCACAATCTTTGAAGGTGAGAAGCTTAAAAGGGGAAGAAAGGGCACTTAGTTATTAAACGTGTACCTCCAGGCAAATCAAACAAAAAAACTCAGGGCATCAAAATATTCCTGGGTTTTTCTGACCCCTTTAGGCTTAGAAATTCTAATTTTAACAGGCTCAGGATGTTATTTTGCATGTTTTTGCAACTCATTAAAGAAGATAAAAATCTTTCCTTCTGTACTGAGCCCTTTATTTTAAAATAAAAACCCCCAGGAAACTTCTTTTATTGAAAGGTGTAAAAAGGATCCAAAGCAGCTAAGTATTTATCAAAACAATGTATAACTTAAATCCTAAGGCTTGACTCTGATCACACATCACCAGCATGTCAATTGGCTGTGGATTTTAGTGTTAGTAGATAGTGAGAAAATCAACCTGCTATTTGGCCTATATAACTACAAGAACATCACTCTAATGTCTTTCCTCTTGACTTGACTGTTTTTGACAGAAATATCCAATTGTGTCACTGTATGGCTTTAACTATGTTTGCTTTCTAGTTATCCTATCACATAGAAAAATCATTTTGACAAAATTTTTTAAAAACAGTAAGATGTGAAACACTATCCATAAAATGCTCATAATAGTGTCTTTTTATATGTAATATGTATATATGTTCATATATGAGTGTACATATATATATATGCTCATAGTAAAAGATAAATATATTAAACTATGTTAACTGCAGTTAAATCAATATGATCTTTTAAGATATATATGTGTATGTGTTCAGGGTAAAAGATAAAGAGATATTAAACCGTATGTTAACTGTAGTTATTTTTAGTAGGTAGAACTATAAGAGATGTTTATTTTCCTTTGTGGTTTTAAATTATTTTCTAAGTTTCCTACAAAAACAAGTGCTACTTTTGCAAACAAAAAAAAAGAAAGCCAAGTACTAAATATTATTTCAAAATTTGGCATGAAATATAAAAGCCCAAATTAAATATGTGCAAAAAGTCTGTTAAATTCTCATGTTTACACTGTTCCTTCTACCATAAACCTAAAGGATCTGCTTGAATAATTTATGTACTTATGGGGAAGATATGGTCTTCAATACAAATCACCTGGTTTTGTGATTGTTGAATTTAGATTGTTAATGGTAGTATGACACAGCCATTTAAAGATGGAGTCCGCCCCTGTTAATGGTAGTATGACACAGCCATTTAAAGATGGAGTCCGCCACATCCAAGCAAAAGGGCACCAAATCAGTTCAGCTGATGTATGATAAGAAAAGTAGGAAGATGAGAATAATGTCAGCTCATGCTGAGCACATTCTATTCACCCCTCATCAATGACCAGGTGCCACCTGCTCCTTCCCCAAAGTTCAGCTATGTCTCCCTATCAAGTGATTCCTCCATTCTGCTTTGAAGGGCTAGCTTCAAAGTAGATGAAGAATCAAAAAGATTTATTTTGCATAGCTCCAAGAAGGAGAGAGAGCATCAATGGCCCAGATCAAAATTTAGCTTAGGAAGAATTATCTGAGAGCTATGGTCAAAATCTCTTTCTGCTGGGGGAGGAAGTAAGGTGTCAGTGAGGGTCTGGTCCAGCTGGGACAGATTGAGGAAATTGCTCCACCAAAACTGAGTAAGAGTGAAATCCAGAAACCATGAAGAACAGAGAATCAATCATGAACCTAATCTGGTAAGATAGAGAGTGGAGTTGCCCCATTGGAATGGCTAGAAGCAGGTGTCAGGAGGTGGGGACCTGACTCAGGTATAGACAGTGCTGGTGATGACTTAGGAACAAGATCAGCTACCTAATTTGTGAAGCCCAGTGCAAAATGCAAATGCAGTTGCTTGTTAAAAACTTAAGAATTTCAAGACTGCAACAGCAGAGTATTAAGTCACGCAGAGGGCCCTTTGAAACTGGCCTGGCATAGGAATGGGTGATCACCAGGAAGGAGAGGAGTGTTCCTGGGTTTATCATTTTTGGGTGGTTCTTACTTGCTCATGGACTCACTGATGAGTAGTGTGGAGACATGGACTGCATTTAAATGACAATGATAAGTAAAAAGAAGATGGAAATTTTCAAAATGGAATTGGAAAGTAATGTTACAGGACATGTTCAAATATAAGCTGCATGTTACAGAGAGAATTCAAGCATTGAGTAGGTATTTAGACTCGAAGACCTTTAAGATCCTTCTCAACTCAGAATCTAGAATTGTATGCTTGGATTGGAGGGGCTAAACGTGATTTAAAAGTATTCTGTAGACTCCATAGTCTACAGGTTCTGGAAGGCCTGAGTTTTTCATATATTCCCAATTACAATTGTTTTAATTCTCACATATATTATAATCTTACTTGTTGGCCAGTTCTATCTTAGAAGCACACATACTGTAACACAGTATTTTCCCTGCTGACCTGCTTAGCAGGGAAATCATTGCTCAGCAGGTAGATTTTAAGGCAATAGTCCCAGAGACCTTTTGGATATTCTTTTTCATCTCTAAATATAAGAAATAGGAATAGAATATTAGATCTTATCCTCTGTTCAGCTGAGTTCAAGTCTCCTTTCTCTTCTTCCATACAAACATTCATACAACATGGAGAGCTCATTTTCTTAACTGCTTATCTCCTCATGTTACTGTATAAGTTGTTCTCATTCCTCATTACTCCCTGTATTCACACTTGTTGCCATGTGGCATTGCATTTCCTCCAACTAGAGATGGAGTATATTTTACCATCTCATTGATGGTGGGCTTTACCATGTTGCTTTAGTTTGCCCATGGAACATGGACGGAAATGGCAGTGTGCCAGTTCTAAGTCTAGACATTAAGAGACATTATGTGTTTCTACTTGCCAATTGTTCACTTCTGGTAGTGCCATAAGAAGAATATGTCCCAGGTATCTCATTGGTGGGAGGATAGGATAAAAGATTTGTGCAATAGACAAAGGTCCAGTCTGCAGCATGGAACCATGCCCAGCCAAACCAGGCTTCAATCAGCCACGCATGAGCTCATGTGTAAGTGTGGAGCAAGAATAAATAATTATTGTTTTAAGCCACTGGTTTGTTTTGTGGTATTATTGTAACAAAAACTGGTATATCTTAACTTCCAAGCTCTTCCATACTTTTGTTTCTTTCTTTCTTTTTTTTTTTTTTTTGAGACAGAGTCACACTCTGTCGCCAGGCTGGAATGCAGTAGCCCAATCTCAGCTCACTGCAACCTCCGCCTCCCATGTTCAACCAATTCTCCTACCTCAGCCTCCTGAGTAGCTGAGATTACAGGCGGGCCCACCACCACGCCCGGCTAATTTTTGTATTTTTAGTAGAGACAGGGGTTTCACTATGTTGGCTAGGCTGGTCTTGAACTTCTGACCTCAGGTGATCACCTGCCTTGGCCTCCCAAAGTGCTGAGCCAGTGCACCCGGCCTCTTCCATACTTTTAATCCGTTAAGTCATGGTGAATATTGAACTCATTAATCAGTTGTGAAGAATGTTGTGATTACTAATTCAAATTTTGGAGTATGTAGACATGGATTGGAATTCTAGCACTAATATACCAGTCTCTTTTAACTATTAAGCTCAGGGCCTTCCTCCACTAAATGGAGATAATAAAATGCCCTACTCTTTGAGATTACTATGAAGACTGAATGAGATGATGCACTTAAAGTTCCAAGCACAATAACTGTCCCCTGTTATTGAGATTGGCCTTGAGTCAACACAGGATGGACAAGCAAGCATGTCTGGAGAGGTGTGAACATTTGAAATAAGAATCACTTCATGAGGCTAAAACAATATCTTGTCCGAAGCACAATCAAAATAAATTATCAATGAAAAAATAACATGATGTAAAAGGAATTAAATGAGATACACCTGAATATTTTCTGAAACCATTACTATGGCACAGCTGTACAGCAATATCTACATCCTCTCAACCCACAGAATTCACCTGAAGTGGAAAGTAAAAGGGAAACTCGTTCTAGGATCCATTATTATTTATCATGGCACAATGAGTAAAACGAACAGATGGCCAATTATTTCTGCAACTGTAATAAATGAAGTGTTTTTATGGGAAGGGGGGAGCCTAGATCAACTACCTTGCTTATATACTGATGGGAAGGCCGAAGGAAAACTTTGACATACAGAGGTCAGAATCAACCAACATCTGCAATCTGTTGCTGGTTCACATAAATATTATCATTTTTCTTTTGCAATAATTTCTGTTTACTGATTTACCAGTACATCTGTGCTTTAAGCAAAGGTTTAATTCTTTCCTGCCAATCATTTCTTCCTAATTGAGTTTTGTGAGTTAAATGAGATAATGCACGTGAAAAAGAGCTTTGCAAGGTGTAAACGGATGCACCTGCTGGCTAATTTAGTTTAAGTTGAATTGTGCAAGGATTTAAACATGCTTATCTGTTCCATTACAGCAAAATGTGATATGTCAAACCTGGAATTAAAACTTGATGACAAAAATCAAGGAAAATGAGCAGCTGGTTGGGGAGCTGGGAGCGGGGGAATAGCCTTTCCTTCCAGAACCACTCATTGAGGGGATGGCGATTAAAACAAAGAAGCGGGCAATTCAAGGGAAAGTGTTCTTTGGGTGTGTTTTATTCTCCCAAGTATGTTTCTGTCTGAAAGAGTTACCAACTGCACTTTATTTCAATTGAATTAAAAGAGAATATAACTTGCTACTCATATACCAGAGAGTTTATATTGTTTCTGCAGTTTCAAATTTTTGTGTGTGTGTGAAGGTCTAAGTCTTAAAACAGTCATAAGATTTATTTACCAAAATGTAACCTATGCTCAGGACACCATTTCTCCTCATTTTTTTCTGGTCTCTCACCAGCACTTTCCATGATCTATCATAGAGAGTGTGTAGTCCCTAGAGATGTGGCATGGGAGAAAAAATATTTTAAAACTTTTTCCCCTCTTGTGGTGCTGTTAGAAGAGTAGAGAAGAGCCAACGATGGGGCTAAGAGCATGGGCAGTGATCACTACTATTTTTGGCTCTGTGATCATGGGCAATTCAGGCTTCTGATCCACTAAAGATGGAATCACAATAGTACCTACCTCATGGGGATGTTTTCAGCATTAAGCAAGGTAATTCATAAAGATAATTTAGCTCTGTGCTTGATTGTGTTCCCTTAATATTAGCCATTATTATAATCACTGGGTGGTAAGGAAGACCATTGTGTGGCTGAGATAAATGGAGGACGTAGGGAGAGGTGCAGACATAATTGTCAGCTGGTGCAAAGAAAGGACAAAAAACTCATCAATTTAAACAAATTCAAATTTTGGGAAAATTGAATGTCAGGTCTAAGTTTTTTGTAATTATAAAAGAAGCTAATGCTAAAAAAAAAAAATCCCCAAAACAATGTTATGGAAAAGATTATAGGGAGACTGATTAAGCCAGTAGGAAAAAAAATACTGTATTTAAGGATATTAGAAGAATTCATCATCATGGAACATGCTCATTAAATACTAGTTGTATCTGTTTGATAATGTAGCCTAAGATCTCTACTTAGTAAAACAGCCAGGTTCACTTTACTGTGTACATTTAAGAAAGACAAAATTGCCTTTTTAGAACTTCAGTCTAGGGTATCTTTTGCACTAAATGCACTAAATTCAGAGATTTTAATGATAGTTTCCTGTAAATGTGCCATCTTGTACAGCTGAAGTATGAAAAACAGCATTCATACTGTTTTGAACCCTTTTCACATAAAAAGCTTGGCACAGATCCTCAAAAACCTCTTAAATAATACTGTCAGTGACCACACTGTCAGCATGAATCCTTATTAAGTAATTTTCACAAAGTCCGTCCTATCCTATCTGTGCAAATAATTTTCAAATATATTTAGGATCATGGATATTAGTTGAGCCAACAAAGCAAATTAACACCACCCCCACCATTACAAGAAAATGGGCACCCATCTTTGTGTCAGATTAGTCACGTTGCATGCCAGAAAAACATAATCAGATCTGGCTTGGCCTTCCGTTTTATCTTCTGTCCATGTCGGCAAACCCTTCAGGAATCATGGAAATGTGCCACTCTGAAACATATTAATTAGCCTGCTTGCCCAGAGTGAGTGCTCTGGCTTAATGCCTACGTTTTGGTGCTGCATATATTCCAAAGAGAGTAGTAACACAAAGTGAAATCAGGCCCAGACCAAGGGATTACAGTTGCTCAGGCAGGGATGAAGGTTACCCAGGCCTCGGCTGTGGTGCTAAGTGCCCTGTGGTCCCTCATTGAAACAGAGGCAAAAGACCAGGAATGTCATTACTTCTCAGCTCCCCTGGCTTTGGGACATAACAGTTACAGTACTCAATTTGGGAAATCTCTTTACTCCCACTGTGAAAATATGTCCCCTTTTGCTACCATAAATATTTGTTCAAGGCTTTCCAAAGTAAAGTTGAGGATTACAAAGTTTCTTTCATAACATAGGGACCTTTTATCCCTTAGACAGTTTCTTTGAACTGTAAGACAAATTTGAAACAGAATAAAGGAGGAGGTAGATGAAATAGACACAGAAAAGATATCAGGGATTAGTCAGCCATATAACCAGTGCTTGAATATAATTTTAAACTCCCTGATCTTAGATATTAGATGCAAAGGAGCATTATCTGGCTTTTTATCCCTTTCCTTTTCTTCTTCAAAATGTAGTTCTCCCTTGCAGGACATAATTTTTGCCTGGATTATTTCAGGGCCAGAAAAAAATAAACTTTATACAGGTAGTTCAGAGATAGAATATGTGAGCATGGTGTAGGGAGAAGACCAAAATTAAGACCTTAAGGATGAATCTTTAAGTTTTTTGGCTTACCTCATGTCACACATAATGTATTATTTACAGTTGCCATATCATTTACATGAAAATGCAGTTCCTCAGGAGATTTGTAGGTAAACTTTAATAATTTAATGTATCTAAACACTATATACTTAGACTATTCTCAGAATTAAATAATTGCAACAAAGACAGGGAAAGTTACTCCTAGAATAGTTCCATGCATTTCAGCCAGTTGGTTTGCAGAACTCCTACTAAGTTGTCAAAATACATGGTGACCAATGCAGGAGCCACTTTCATGGTCAGAGCCCTGCACACTTGGTGAGATATATCAAGTTTATTAGTGTATGGACAAGAAGCCTTAAATCTTATAGCCAAGAGGCTAGGTTCAACCTATAAATGTGTTTGTTCAACCTGTACACTGTTAAACATTATTTGATGCATTTAAAAAGTGAGAGATTTCACACAAAATCTGTATTTCTGGCTTCTCCTAAAAAGTTGGGTGATCTGTCATTCTTGGGGCTATAGTTCACATGGAAAAATCTGCAAAAAACTCAATAATATACTCTTTTGGTATGCCACATCCCCCATAACTTCCTATGCTATTACATCTAGCCCAAGGCACTCACTGCAAATGCTCCATAAATAGATGAAAAATGAACTTCTAGATAAATTTCTTATTTTGTAGGTAGTGTGAATTGTTTTCCACATTTCTTAGCCTGGCTTAACAGCCATACACATAAACACAAACACACAACATAGTTAAAAGGGCAGGTATGATTGCGAGTATGGAAATGATAACTAAAAGATGGCTCTACCAGTAAGCCAGTTGCATGTTTTGGAAAATTTTCTGTGCTCTTTCCACGTCTAAGAAACTATCTGTAAAATATTGAATGAGCTTAGATAGCTTCCTAGCTTCCCTCCCAATTTAGTGTTTTCGCTTTATCAAGAGGAAAACTTATTTTCTATTTTAGTGATTCAATTTGATTGTCTTCACTATTAAAATTAATTGGATCATATAATTAAACTGAAAACAAAATTAAGAGTCTAGCTTCTCATTTTATAGATAGGAAAAACTGAAGAGATCATGCAAATAAATAACAAAAAACGCATTAAACACAAGCAGGAGGTATGTTCAAAAAGCTACATTAAAACAGAGAAGGGAAGAGACATTATTTTATCAAAAGTATCATTTTCTCCAACCTGCTGTTTTATCCATGGGAGGGTATTTCATGAGCAACATGGCTGGGATGAGACTTAAAAATGACCTTACCCAGACCATTGACCCAATTATCCAATCTGGAACCTTACTTAGTATTCCCCAAACTTTTATTATAATAAGCCTTGTATTACTTGGGTATATAGCTTTCTTTTCTAGCACACAGTAAAAAAAAAAAAATTAATGAGATAAAATCTCATTCTGTTGCCCAGGTTGGAGTGCATTGGCACGATCACGACTCACTACAGCTTCAAACTCCTGGCTCAGATGATCCTCTCATCTCAGTCTCCCAAGTAGCTGAGACTACAGGCATGTGCCACCACCTCTAACTAATTTTCCCATTTTTTTCTAGAGAATGGAATTTTGCCATGTTGCCAACGCTGGTCTGAAATTCTTGGGCTGAAGCATTTTGCCTGCCTTGGCCTCCCAAAATGAATAAACTTTTAAGAGCAAGAATCACCCTTCTTCTTTTTTTCTCTCTTTCTTTTTGTATGTATGTATTTATGTATGTATGTATGTATGTATTTACTTATTTAAGACAAGGTCTCACTCTGTTGCCCAGGCTGGAATGCAGTGGTGCAATCAGGCTTATTGCAGCCTTGACCTCCCAGGCTCAAGTGATCCTCCTGCCTCAGCCTCCCAGGTAGCTGGGACTACAGGCACACATCACCATGCCCAGCTAATACCCTTCTTTTTATTTCCCAATTCGAGGCTACATTTTTAGCTTTGCACAAACTAGGTATTCAGTAAATATTTGCTAAATCTGAAGAGAAACTTCCAGATCGATAAACCATAAGGACATTTTGATTTGGTCCAAATAATTAATAATGTGATACCATCATGGGCTTGAGAATCAAAAACATAGTTTTGTCTTGAGTAATATATCCCATTTTGCTGCACAGCAGTTCAGCTAAGTAAATCTTCACTATGCATCTCCTATGTGCAAAATATGTGTTAAATATTATGGGGCAAAATTTCCTAAGCCCGACTGGATCGTTAGCATTACCTAAAGAGGTTTTAAAAACATAGATTCTAAAGCCACACCTCTAGAGATTCTGATATACCTAGGCTTGGGGACTCTACGTGTGTTTTTAAGTTCCCCAGCTGATTCTGACCATTACTAGGTTTAGGAAATATTGCTTATGTAATATATAGGTAAAGAATATAATTGCTAATTACACACTTCATTCTGAGTTATGTGATCTAAATTTCACGACCTTAGCCACTTCCTTTCAGAGGAGAGTAAATAGAAGTTGCTAATCTCTTAAAACCATCTACAAATTTATTAGTGTCTGAAGTTTGGAATATGTGAGTAAAAAAAATAAGAAAAATTAAGTTACATAAAATGTTAAATATTGTCTGTCTCTGTGGGGAGAGAAACTACTATTTTTTCCTCATTAAGATAATTCAGGAATATTAGCAGTAGCAATGGAAGGGGCCTGCTACCTTATCCCTTGACAAAAATACACTATTACCATGGTAACCACTGAGATGGGACAAGATGTCTCCTTAGAGGCAGAGAATAGAACCAAGCATCAGTTGAGGAAAAAAGTCCTAACTACCAACAAATGATACTCTTAGCTATATTTGTATAAACGCAGATTGTTTTAGGTAAGGCTTCTAAAATAATTTCAAACACATTACTATGCCCCCACAAACAAATGCAGGGGCATAGTGGCTCCCGACATTAACTACCTATATGTGGGTTTTGTGTATTCACACTAACCAATTTGAATATTTCTATTAAATCACCTGGTCCAGAAAATCAAACCAGTTTTGTCATGTAAAACAAAATCAGAAAGAAAGCAGATGCAGTGCTTTTTTTTTTCTAATAATGATAATAAAAAAGACAACTTCCATTTAATGGGGACTTACTGTACCAAATATTTTATACGTATTATGTCATTCATTCATTTCTCATAGCAGCACCACAAAGTAGATATTATCTTTATTGTCTCATCTTATAGAAAAGGAAACTTTGTTTTAGAGAGGTTAGGTAATTTACCCACCATCATAGAGCTAGCAAATAGTGGAGCTAAGAGGAAATCTTTCTGACGCTGACTCTTAGAATCTCATCTTCCAAAATAAAAACACATAGTTTGTACCACAAGATATATGAACACTGGTCTTTATAGCCCAGTGTTCTCTCTCAAAGGATATTAGAATTTCTTTGTGGAAGAACGTGGTTGTTCCTCTGCATTGCACCACATTGTCCTCAAAGGTTTGTGCTATACAATCTTGTCAGTTCTTTAATCTACTCTTAAATTTATGTAATTTATTGATTATTCTCAGGTATACAGTCATGTAATAAGCACTGGTGTACCAACCAAGTGCCAGGCACTATACTTGCTACTGGGCATGTAAAGGCATAAGGCGGCTTCTGAACGAAAACAGCTCATAATCTAGTGATAAAGACAGAAGCATGTAGATAATCTTAATATAATGTAATGTAATGGAGTTGCACAATAGAAAGAGGAGTTTGCAAAGGTGAAGATGGACAGAGAAGCCCTCACAGAAGTGATGCTTTGAATTGGGTCTAGTAATGAGTAGGATTGGGCAGCAAGATGGGAGGATGGCACTTTAAGCTGAAGGAACAACACTTATATACAGGAATGCAGTCAGAAAATGCTTGATATTGGGAGTCTGCATCCCAAACTTTGTCTAAATTCTAAATCCTATTGGACTCTAGTGGGCAATAGGAGAAGAGGGAAAAGTGAGATTGAAGAAGTCAGTAGCAGCCATGGGTTTATACACTATTGTTTCAACAACCATTTATTTACTTGACAATAAGTGCCTGGGACTGTGTCAAGTACTTTACATAAATTGTTCTATGAGGGAGTTTACAGTTGAAATTGCAGCTCAGAGAGATGAAGTATTTTTGCCTATGTCACATAGCTTGGATATAGGTAGAATTTGAATGCAGATCTGGTTGGTCTTCAAGCATGCATTTCTCTTCTCTATATCACATATAGGTGTTTGGAGATTATTTCCCTATAAGCAATAAGAAGCCATTTGAGAATTTCACACTCCCATGTCATATGATCAGATTTGCATTTTGGAAGGATTTCTTTGGCAACAATGTAGAGGATGAACTGAGAGTGATACAGGACTAAGAAGCCAATTAGGAACTTAACTACAATGGTTCAGATGGGGAAAAAAAACACCTAGGTTAGTAGTTCTCATAGTCAGCTGTTCATTGGAATCACCTGGGAAATATTTAAAACTGCAGTGGTCCTTAGGTATCCATGTGATAATAGTTCCAGGATGTGGACCCTGAGTGCAGACACAGAGGGCTGAGTGAATATAATGCCTGGATACCACACTTAGAGATTCTCTTTTAATTGGTTTGGAGTGTGATTTGGCCATTAGGATTTTTAAAGCTCCCCAGGTGATTATATTATGCAGCTAGGGTTGAGAACCATTGGTCTTGGCCAAGTCAATGGGGACAGAAATAAAGAGATAAGCTTGAGTATTATTTAGAAATTAGGCTCAACAGGACTTAGGGTCAACAAGACTTGGTGGTTGATTGGATATGTGGGTGGTGGTGATGGGGGTGAAGCTAGGGGTGAGGAAAGCTTGAAATAAATCCTAGGTTTCTCATTTAGAGGACTGGGAAATTAGTGGCACCATTAGCCAGGATAAAAAATACAAGAGTAAGAGAAGATTTATAAACTCTGGAAGTAATAGACCATAGAATAGAATAGATATGTTATATATAACAACAAATTTTGAAAATATTTGTAACAGACCCAGATTTTTTTTATCAAAGTGAGAAAATATAATTTTTAAATCTTTTGAAACTGAATTCTACCCTGCTCTCCTCTCTCTGGTGTTGACAACCTCATTTACCTTCTCTCTGGGCAGCCTCACCATTTCTGCAGCTATAAAGATGAAGGAGAGTGGGCCAATGATGGTGGTGGGCTATCACAACTGCTACAACCCCAACAACTTCAATTCAAGTCACAAGCACTACTAAGGGAGTGAGCGCCACTTGTCTCCTATGTGAAGGACCAGTCCTAGTGATAATGCTGACCGCAGTTAAAGAGAGAGCAACTACCTGAATCAGCTAACACTGAGTTATTTACATCTACAAACAACTGGGTCAACAGGAGAAACAACAGCCCTTAATACAGTGGTTCTCATCTTGGCTGCATGTTGAAATCACCTAGAAAGCTTTAAAATGTAGTGATGCCTAGGTTTCATTACCAGGGTCTCTCATTTTGTCTGTGGTGCAAACTGGACATTGTGATTTTCTTAAATGCATGGGAGTTTCTTAATGCTTGGGTTATGCTAATGTGCAGCTGAGGTTGAACCATTGCTTTAGTACCTTTATGTACCTTTCAAGAGACTGCATTCATGTTAGCAAGCAGATTGTTGTGGGATAATTCAGAATGGCCAGAGAATGCCTTTGTTTTATGTGAGGATTAGCAAAAACTACCGTACCCATTAACACTTTTGCAAGCAGTGTACTCTTAATGGTCAAAAGTTCATATATAAACTTCCAGTTATCAGTGCCAAATGCTATGATTTTTGACTTTTCAGATGGAAATTAACTGCCTGCATTCTACTTCATGATAACAGTCAGAGTCTACTTAGGGAAAATAGACTTATGCCCAGTAGTATAGCAAAAGGAATTGAATGTGGATACTAGTTTAGAAGTGTTGGAAATGCTGAAAAGAAAAACAGTCTGGGCAGGCAACTCGGAGATGGACAAAAAGAAGCTACATACCACCTTGTAGAGCTTGAGGGATAAAGGAGAAAACATTTTTACAGTCATCCCTCAGTATCCATAGGGGATTTGTTCCAGGACCCCTACAGATACCAAAATGTGCACGTGCTCAATTCTCACAATTGGCTCTATGGAACCCATGAATACAAGAAGTCAACTTTCCATATCTGAAGGTTTTGCATCCTGAAAACACTGTATTTTTGATATGTGTTTGGTTGCAACCACGCATGCAAAATCCAAGGATATGAAGGAGCTGGCTGTATTTATTTTTAAGTAGACCCATAAATTCAAACCCAGGTTGAACCCAATTGTCAACTGTACTAGCAAGTAAGAGCTTGGGCTACCTTTGGGAGCTGAGGTCTTCAAAGGAGCTGCTTCCCAACAGCAGCTGGAACCACAGAGATGCAGACTCTGCTGGAGATGCTTTCTAAAGCTGAGAGAAGAAAACTCTCCTTCCTCCCCTTTACTTGCTCTTCAATCTCCTACCTGTGACTTCCCTTGGCTGAACCTAATAGGAAGCCAGTTGGTATGGAATCCTGGGATGCATAATCTGCAGGGTTTAGCATCCTGTAATATATTGCAGAGCTGAAAGCAAGCAAGCAAATGACTGGGACTAGGATTCTGAGCCAGATTTGTCCCAGATTCTGGCTGTAGATACATTCCGTTCTTGCTGGTAAGTATATGTAGGATAAAGTACAAACCAAATGGAAAATTCTGAGTTTTTCTCCTTTATTCCATGTACATAGGAAAAATTATTCTACAGACATATATTAGTAATTGTGCTTACATTACCAACTCCTCAGCTGAGATGTTCACACTTGCAGAATGTATTTATTCCAATATAAAACATGAAAAATCTTTTTGATATGCATACAAGAACAGACATGGATACAGATAAAACAAAGGACAGAACTTTGAATAGGTGTGTCTCAGCTTGCAGCATTTCACTGTTACTGAACAGTAAGTGGTAGCATAACAGCTGCATTGAGGATGCTATTTTCGTACAAATAGCAAGTCTCATTTCCACAAGCCAATTCACAGAGATAGAATTTAGACAAATCGTTTTTCCCCATACCAAAACTGCTTTGGTTACCTGTACTGAAAAACAATTAAGAGTAGGGTTGTGTTTATGCAAACCTGCCACTGAGGGAACCATATGGCTTCAACTCTAAGACCAACTTTCTACCTGTTGGTGGTCCTACTCTACTATTTAGAAAGGTCCTGTTTATTCTCAAATAATATTCTTGGTTAAGATAGATGAGCCTGGTTCCAAATGGACCCTCTGGCTGGAATATTGGTTAAAAGCACACCCTCATGAATTTAAAATGAGCCATGGACACAGATCCAGCACCTGTATTACTTTACTAAGACAGCATTGGTCTGAGTGAGATGGAAAAAATATTATTTTCTTATCCTTCCTTGAACTGTAAGAACTGTAAGAAGTATTAGAAAGAACAAAATAACTTTGGGAGGATGCTAATTTAGTCTTAGGTATCTATTCATGAGTCTATTCTGATTGAGATGATTGTTACACTGGATTAAATCAATTATTTTACAGTGCTTTTTAAAATTTAAAAACAAGATTTCTCCTGAACTTGGTGGTTTGCCTCCCTGAAAGCTCACCTTGAAGGGTGTAGGGAGCTCACACAAGTGGGCAGCAGAAGGGAGGCTTCCAGCTGCAGAGCAAGCAGAATAACACATTAAGCAGTAGTCTCTTCTGAAAATCTAAACATGGAATAATACTTCCTCTGAAAAAACTCAGTATAGGCCAACCAGTAACCATGGCCATGGCCACATTTGGGGATCAGGGATCTTTGCAGCAGAGACATTACCTCTTGATTGGGAGCACCTTATCATGGATAATCTGATATTAGAAGACAGTCATAGGATAATACAGATAAGTACCACCAATGCATTACAAATTCTAACATCAAGATGCACATGGCCTTCCCCTAGTCTGTTCCACATACAGCATTTATTCGGGCAGTTCTTCAAGAATACATTTTCTCCTGATCTTCAATTTCAAACAAACCCATAGGGTGAAAAGGTTAGGTTCGTGCAAAAAGATGACATTCTCTTTTAGCATCTCATGGATCACAGAGCATCTCCTTCAAATCCTGGACTCCAGAAAAAGAGCAAGTCCTTGTCCTGATGAGTTGATTTTCTTCGCTTAGACTCCACCAATAGAGATAAAGGGTAGAGGCACTTGGTGCACTCTATCTTAGTGGCAGGATTATTATGTCCACCTGAAGGCTTGAAGGGATGTGTGCTGGTGCAGGAACTATCTTGCTTGGGGTGTGTGTCTAAGTTTTGCATCCTAAACACTGAAGGGTGTGTGAATTGCCAAGAATACCTGATCTGGTCCAACCTAGCAAATATCCAACAGGATTTTTCACTGGTTTTCTGGCTTGTTGTAATCCTTATTTTAATGAAGGCAAAAAGTAAGGTTTTAGAACATTAAAAAATTTAATGTTCTTAAAAGTTTTAGTCAGTTGTATCCTGAACACCCCTTTCATCTACTTCTTGCTTGTGCACTTGGGAATGACACGGATGGTGGCAGCATTATTGTGTATTAAGTAATTTAGTGATTTATTTTATACCACAGCATCTACATGGGTCCCTCTCTCCCTGGCAATGAAAACAGACCATAGTTGCTGATGAATAAAATCATTCAGAAGTTTCTTTGTCACTAAATTGAATCAGCTTTCCTCCAAGGATAGTCTTCTCTTCATCTATAAATTTACATATTTATACAAAACACATGATCATTTTAATCTTTGTTCTCTCTTTTGACTCCACCCAGGTTTTCAGTGAAAAAGTCCCTAATTCAGTGTAGCACTTAGGCTTTTACTGATGTGACATTGCAAGAAAGAAAGTCACTTGTTGTCCTTGATAATCTCATTTGGCTTCAGCATAGTTCTTTGAAGTAATTCCCTTGCTAGCTGGTTGTATTCCAAATGTGTACAAACCATATTATGCCTTTTAAATCTAAACCATACAAAGAGATAGACTCTACTTTCTATTATATCATAATATCTCTTTGTATCAAATTGATATCAATATTTCATCATCTTTGAACTTTTGATTCCATTTTCAGTTTAAGTTTTCTTATCTTCAGATTTTAAAGTCTTCTCCTGCATAAAATTCTGTTTGAACTTGAACGTGTTAATACATTGTGTGGTCAATTTTGCCCCACATAATTTTACTCTTCATTCTTCAACATTCTTTCATTAAACTTCTTTATTGTTTAAACCTCATTTTCATAGTAGTTCAGGGGATTCAGCCTTAGTGTAGCATCTTTCTCTTAAGGACTGTGAAGTTTTCAAACCCTGAATCTTTTCTAACCAGCTTGATGACCAAGAAACAATTCAGACCAATCTGTATATCAATTATTTACAGCAGAGTGGTAAACCAAAGAGCTGTTGGAAGTCATTGATACATACTACACCAAGAGATATTGAAAAATCTATTAGACATTACTAGACACTGTTAAACAAATGAATTATTTCAAAATGACCACCCTTTCAGAACCATGGACAGGTATACTGACCCCCTCCACCCCCCACCCCAGCCTTGTGCTGATCTCAAAAGTTGGGATTATAAAATAAAAAATTTAAATAAAATCTCTTGGTTACATAGTCTTGCTTAGTGCTTTAACATTTTAAATGTCCTAGTTATCCTTTCAGGAGGACTATACAGGAGATTGGAGCCTGAGCTACTTTTTCAGAAAGTTTATCTAGGAACCTAAAGTAGAAGTCTATTAACAGTAGATTGACAATGCACACTACCATCTTAAAGGCCTCACGGCTGAGAAGCCTTGTCTGAGGATTTATGTATTTGTATATTTCTCAAAGAGCCTAATATCCTGAGAGAGTTTAATGGCCTTTGGCTTTGACCTAGTGACAGTAAAGTTTGTTGCTTAGTTATGTCACTTAATAGAATGTTATAATTCTATGCAATTATGTATGAGTACATTAAAATAACTAAAGAAAGGGAAGTGGGAAAGGTAAAAAGAAGAAGTGCAAATAATCTTGAAGAGGTAGTTAGCGATTTGTGGTCAATTTGATCTATAATGTCATGAGAACCAGTGAAAGAAAAAAAACGTGGTCAGTAATATTCAAAGGAAGGTTATTTTCCCTCTGTCACTAGGCATATGAAAATTTCACTGCTAGGTAAAAATCATCCAAAACAGCATTTATTAGATGCTTTATGGTTTTCTGATTAACTATTATCATCCAAGATAAAATGTGAGCAGAGGGACCTGGATTAGGTTCTTGGCATATTCCATCTAACTTTTTATACTGGATTTCTATAATTCACCTTCCCTCTCTTAAATAATCACCTCTCTCCCACCACCCACTCCCCACTGTAATTACATTCCTGTGGATTTTGTAACTGAGAATGCTCCCTTTTATGTGAAAATGTAGCTGGTGTCTCTTTGGAAAGGATATAAGACTAATTGGCTACTTTGGCAATCACTTAGTCCTGAGTCTAGCAGGAAGAGTTGGTTTCTGGCAGGAAAGAGAATTAAATGCTCAAATTCCCAAGCTGTCAGCTAGCAGATGTATGTTCAACTAGGAGAACAAAGAACCTTCTGGAACAACGTTGAGAGCTCTGGGTGTGTTGTCAGTTGGAAAGAAATCTGACTGTTTCGGCTCAGAAGCAAATGCTCAACTCCATGTGCTCTGACTTTCTGCACCAGTCCCCTCACCTCACCTCTCCAATCCATGGCTCCTGCCTGCTGAGAAAATATCACTATAAATAGGACACATATGGCTACAAATTCAAATTTTCACCCCTACCACATGTCTGTGCATCTTTGTCATTGAGCTAATTGCATTAGGCAGCATCAGGTGCTTCCCACCTGGCCTTTTTTGTGGTTGGGTTATAATCCTATCTCCCTGTTCCCAATGCCAGGCTCAGGTAGAACCACTGACTGTCTTCTGGCCCCAGGCAATGGCAAGAGTCCAGCATTCCCTGCAAGAAGAGCCAACAACCTGTTTCTAGGCATTTGATTTCTACAAGGATAAACTCCCTTTTCAGTATATTTTGCCTTTAAGGTATCAGGGGGAATACAATAGATGGGTATAGCTTGAAAAATCTCTAGATATTATTAATTGTCATGCTATTTTCGACAGACCTATAAACTGTTTATGATTTTTTCTACTTAGTAAAATCTTTGATACCTTCAGATCTTATCCACAGTCCAACAATTTCTCACCACCTCTGTTTGTGACTCCCATTGTCTAAATCACTATCAAATCTCACCTGTATTAATGTCCTTGTCTAACTTGCATTTGGAGTCTATCTTTGCTCCACATCAGTCTAATCTCAACCAATTCTGTCATAACCTATCACATCTCTGCTTAAAAATCCAGCAATGGCTTCCCAGCATACTCAGAATAAAAGCTGAAGTCCCTCAAGTCATTCATAATATTTTGTATGACCTGGCTACCATCAACTCTCTGGCCTCAACCCTTATTTTTCTCATATGTTACCGATGTTTACTAGGCATGCTGTCACCACCCAGATCTTTAACTGGCTGTTTCCTTAGTTTTAATTGCATTTCCCTAAGAGTCACATGGCTTACTTCCTCCTTTGCAAATTCTTCCTTCCGCACTTTTTTCTCCTTAGTGTTTATCTCTATATATTTTAGTTATTTATACTGTTTATTGTCTTTTCCACTATAATGCAAGCTTCATTTCCCCCTAAATTCCATGTTTGCCCTGTGATTTTTTTTCTTCATCTTATTAGCATCTGGCATTCTTTGAAGCAATCAGCTTGACATTTTTGCCTCAAAGCTATCACTTGTATCCCTCTCCCTGCTCAAGGCCCATCTTCAGTAGACTAAACAAATACCAGAATCACACACACACACACACACACACACACACACACACACACACACACACACAATCCTGTATACTAGTAAAGGAGTGAGAAGGAAAATACTCTAAGATAAAAGGATAATAAGTTTTTACACAGTAATTCTGTTTAACAGGTAAATAAATGCAGGATAACAGAAGGCAGAAACCTGATTTATTGCAGAAAACGGATGGAAAAAATTCTAAACACAACAGATGAACTCCAGAGCCCTGCTGTGAAAACAAGGAATTTCAATTCTGGTCAAATTCTCAACAGTGGCATAACTCTTAGGAAATCTCAGACTTCTCAGTCTTCAGATACTTTCTGTCTAGGTCTACTTTTCTGCATATTCCTAGATTCTTATCTATTCAGACATGCATCTGGGTGACAGTCATTTTAAGTCAAGATAGGAAGGATTGTCTTTCCTTATGTCTCCAGGCCCTTAGGGATTAAATAGACTTTATTGGTTATATAACTGTCCTTTAACCTGCAACTTCGGGGCCACAGCCTTTTTTTGAGGCTTACTCTGGGAAAATAAATCAATAAGAGGGGCCCTTATTAGACTTTTTTCCAACTTAAAGAATATCCTTATCCATAATACTCCATAGAAGTCTCAATGCCAATTAGTTGGTGCAAAAGTAATTGCAGTTTTTGTTATTACTTTTAATGACAAATAAAATTAATTTGTCAAACACTTTTACAACAGTTAAGAACTCAACTAGCTGGGATAGAGAAATAAAAATTTTATTTTAATGACAAATAATTGTTCACACACTTTTACATCAGTTGAGAACTCAACTAGCTGGGATGGAGAAATTTGCATCAAACACTACCATTCTGACTTAGAATAGTGGTCTTTATATTTTTCCTCATAAATCCTTTCCAAAATTTTGAGAAATAATTTATCTCCTCAAAAGTTTGTTTGCAGGAAAAAAATCATCAAATTATTAAGTAGTTGTAAAGCATTTAACTTCTGGCACATTGTAAAAGTTGGACTTTAGCAAATAAAACTATTACAACATTCTTCTAAGTATTTTATGAGAAATCAAGTGCTATATGATAACCACCATAATCCATTTAAAATGTATTTCTAAATTCTTCCTTAACATTTAGAAATTTTCATTCTTCCTTTTTGTGAACTCATATTAATATTTTACTATACTTCCCAGATATTTATTTTTATGTAATATATTTTGTGCTTAAAAATTATTTTGTTGATCATCATACCATGCTTATCTGTAACAAATTGCACATATAGCTTTAAATTTTACTTTTTAATTATCTCTAACCATGAGACTTTAACTGTTGTGATGTTTTTCTGGCTTGAGCTACCAATATAATTTTTAATAATATAGTCTTCTTCAAAATAACAAAAATATTAATTTTTTTTGTAAATTAAACATAAAAGTAAGCTTTTAATGAAAAAGCTTCTTGAAATGAGATGAAGAATAAAATCTCCTTAGGCTTTTAGTGAAAAAGAATAATGTTTACTGCTAAAGAATAATGTTTTCTGCTAAAAAATAATTACACATTATAACAGTAAACATTGTATAAAATGAAATTTTATGAAGATTGACTATAATAGGAGTACTTTATATATTATATATACAAGTTTCTAGCCCCTATTCCAAGAGATTTTAATTTATTTGTTTGTTGCCTATACTTTGAGCAACACTGGCTTTGTAGAACCTATTAAATATTTGGGTGCAAACAAGAGCCCTTGAAAGTTGCTATGTTAAGGACTGATGTGATCAGAAACTGCAGAAAGAGCAAATGAAGAGTGGATTGTTTTGGGCCAAAAAAGGCAATAAGGATACCAGTTATATTATTTCAGTAGTCCAGGTGGGAGAGGATGGTGCTGGTATTGGTAATGGAGAGAAATAGGTGCCAAATACATCCTGGAGATAAAATTAAACACAATATGATGATTAATTGAATGTGGGAAGTCAGGTAGAAGTGAGTGTCAAAGATGACAGGTTTTTGGCTTAAGAAACTGAGTGATGATACCATTTACTGAAATATGGAATACCAAAAGTGAAACAAGTTGAGGAATGCATAGAGGAAGATCATAGTTTCCACTTTGGATATGTCTGTTAGACACCCATGAAGTTGTAGTTGGTTGGTTACACCAGCATGGAGCTCAGAAAAATAGTGCAAACCAAAGCAATGGTTCTTCAATTTCAGTTAGCATCAGATTCACCTGTGGAGATTGTTAAAACATAGATGACTGGACCTCACTCCTAGAGTTTCTTATTTTGTAACTAGGGGCATGGGGAATAGAGAGGTGAGAATTTGAATTTCTAATAAGTACCCAGGTGCTGCTCTTGCTGCTGGTTCAGGGACTGCATTTTGAGAACCACTGAGGTAGATCTTTATATTTGGGACTCTTTAGTGCATGAGATTGTATGGGGACCCATAGGAGTAGATGAGATTACTCAGGAAGGGGAGCATAAGTAAGCCAAAAAAAAAATGAAGCTTTGGTGAACTTCAAAATTTAAATTACCAGTGGAGGATTTAAGAGTTCCCAAAAGAAAGTGACAAGACTGAGAAGTATGAAGAAAGTTAGGTGAGAGGTGTTAGTTCACCCAACTTCTTATAAGTCTTTGTAGCCCTACAGAATTTTCCATAGCTAGTTCTAAGAAAACTCATTAAAACAATGAATAAATGTACTCTGGAAATATACCACCATCTGGGAGTAGAGCATCCAGCAAAATCACTGAGGATTGTCAACATGCAGACAATCTTTGATATAGGCATCACTTAATCTTATCTGGCCCATTGGATTCTGTTTCTATTATGTCTGTATTTAGTGGTGAGCTCCCTCTGCATCCTCAGGATGTTAAAGATGGTGTTTGGTCCCAGAAGGAAAAGCAACTACCTTATACCTCCTCCCTGCCTCCTTACTGGGGAACCAATAGTTTCCCTGACACGTGACAGTTTTTGTTTGTTTGTTTTTACTGTTTCTGGTTCAATCAATCTGACACCTGACACTTTTTTATTGTTTCTAGTTTAATCAATCTTTTTCTGATAAAGTAAAAAATATTAGCCATAGGGTTTATATATTCACTAATAAATTAATTGAGGCATATCCGAACAGGAGACTCAAGTGAAATTGACTTCGAATTCCATCAGGGTCTTTTGTAACATCAAGGAAGCCCATCTGGCCTCTTGGGCCATGCTCTCTTCATAGTGTCTGGTGACACCTGCTGTGTGACTGAAATTCCTCACACCTGTTGCATGACTGAAGTCCTTGGTAGAGAATGTAGAGTTATTTCTACTATCATCAACTCCCAGAGGCACAGGGAGAGTTCTGTTAGTGATCTACTCCTTCACAGTCACAAGGCTATTCTGAGGATAATTTTAGCATCTTTCATCATGGATAGAAATCACTTGAGCTCCTGACATTTTCTGGCTCTTTGTAACCCTGTGGGCCAGGACTGCCCACACATAGCAGGTGATTTGCCCACACAGAGCAAGCACAAAGCAAATAACCTTTGTCTTAATATTAACCTCCACCAACCATATTTTCTGATGCTTCCCTGGGTACCAATCTGTCTTGCCACTCTCTGGACCCTGCCTACCAAGCCTTCCTCATACATGGATGGAACAGTCTGCCAGCTTACATATCTACCTCTTCACTATTGGGAACACCCACCTACCCACCTGCCTGCCTGCCCACCTGCTTGCCTGAACTATGGATCTGGCTTTGTCTGCTCCTCTGACGCATTATGATTTTTAATAGAATGAGCTTTGCATTGTGCAATTTAACCCACAGCATCTCATTTTTCTTAAAGTTTCAATTACAAGTAATAAGTGTGACAATCGATGTTCTCCTGCAATTCATGTTATGCAATAAATACAAAAATCTTTTTTTGTAAATTAGGAAACTTAAAAATATAGCTCTAATCGAATATTTATAGGATTTCCAGAGCAAACATTTATACATTATAAATGATTCTTTTATACTATGAATCATTTCCCCCAATGTATATTTTTCATATATTTAGACTGAATTTTATTAAAATAGAACACTACAGTAACCTGAGAATAACTTGTGTCATTGATAATCCTTCTTGTCTACAGAAGGAGAATAATTCCAGCCTAACTGGGTTATAGTATTTGTTACTATAAAACCTCTACATAGTGGAGAAAGTCCTCTCTACGGCTCCTCAGTTCTGCAAGCATACACCGTATTAAGTACCAAATTGGTGTCTTCTGGATGATACAAATGTCAAGAGTAATAAACTTCTACATGATGATGTTTTCTGCCTGAAGGTCCAATGTATCCAAAGTAACACCAGGACTCTATACATAAAACAACCAGAATGTGGCACAATTAAACCAATCGTTTCTGCCAAGTTAATAAATATGCCAACTGATAATGAAAAGTCCATCTGCAGCAATTGGTACTGTCTGAAATGAATGCATCAGCTGTGCCCCAGTTCAATGCAGGGGCTGAATATAGAAATGGCCTAGATGCTGCCAACATTTTTTTCCATACAAAGAAAACTATGATTCTGTTTACATGGCAGCAAAAGGAGGATATTCTTTCCTTCTTAGGGTCATCAGTGTGCCCCACATTTGCCAATGACTCCGCATGAACAAATCCTTTGAATTCACCATTTTTTAGATAATTTTTAAAGTAAAACCAGCCAGTTCCCCTAACCCCACCCCCAGATCTAGGTTTCTGGGAGGGAAAATTACTCAACCCTGGAGTTTAACTAATAATGTGGTAGGGCCAGGGCAATCATGGGGTTAATCCACCATGGAAGCTGCATATGAGCAGAAATAATAGATAGACAAGTAATCAACATTCATCAACTGCTCAATACTTAAGTATATCTATATTGTAAATTTACTTCAAAAATACTAAATTATTACCATTCTGTGGTCAGACAGTATATCTAATATATCTTTATAAGTCCTGGTGGCACCCTCCCCCCACCATAGAGAACTACACATAACAGATGCACAATCTTTAGGAGAAACATAGACTGTCAGAGTTGAACTCCAGGAAACTCCTAAAAATGTTTCAGTCCAATATTTTTCTGAAATATGAATTCTTTTAACTATCTCACACAAGGCATCTGCTGAGTTTCTGCATGGATACTTCCAAAGCTAAGTAACTCATTGCCTTCTGGGCACACTCATTTAGTTGTTGGGAAGTTTTAATTCACTTAAGGAAGAAACAAAACAGGCAAAATGTAAAAAGTCACAAGTATAGCTTTTTGAGATGGACACCACTTTGGTGATAAAAGCCAACATCTTAAACTGCACAATCATTATAATCACCCTTTTGCATGTATGTACAATTCTCTTGCTTCACTCTAGCTTTGTCTTACTCCCTTGGCTAAGCCACAACCCTGGTTAAGTCTATCTCTTCTACTAGTCCATGCCTGCACTGTGCTTCTGATATGCATGAGTAAAATACAAACCTATGCTCACTGGTTACCCTTTAATATCATGAACCTCAGAGGGTCTCTAAGGTTGAACAGCAATCATTCTATTTCCTAAATATTTTTTTCTCTCACTCTTTGGGATAACTGTCATGTCTCTCTTCTCTTCACAAAACTTGAACACCTTTTCCCCATCCTTATTCACAATGGATCACCTTTCTTCCTATTTTATTGAGAAAATATCTGTAATTGGAAAAGAAATCCCCCAGCAACTCAGCTACATCTACCCAACTACATACATCTGTGCTCATAAGCTGTCCTTGTACCTAAGGCCAAACTTTCCACTTGTACTTTATTTCCACCCTCTTGGCCTGCTTAAGAAATCACTTAGAAATTTTTCCTTTTTCTTCATTGTCAATTTCCCTTTCTCTATTGGATCATTACCATGGGCATAACATGATGCTATTCCTCAAAGTTTAAAATAACCTTCTCTTGATCCCTCTTCCTGTTTTTGCCACTCTCATTTTTCTCATTCCTTTTCCAACAAAACTCCTTGAAAAAACTGTCTATACTATCTATCTCCAATTTCCACCCCCCCATATTCTCTTCAAACCACTTTAGTCAACTTTCACCTATTTTATCACAGGGAATATTTTCTTAACAAAGTTACATTGCAAAGTACATCTTTCCCTCATTGTTAACCACCTCTCAGTGGTATTTGACATAATTGATTACTGTCTTCTTCCTTCAAACATTTTCTTTACTTGCTGAGGTAGCTTATCTCCAAAGATAGCTATGATCAATTCTTTCCCTCCCTGTAAGTGCACACCACAACCTCATTGAGAAATGGTGTGCATTCCTCCACTCCCTTAAATCTGGGTTGGGCTGTTTATTTTTGAGAAATAGAATACAGTAGAAATAACACTTTAAGTTAGGATCTAGCCTTTAAGAGGATTGGAAGATCCTGTTTCCTGCCTCCTGTATCCCTGAGTTACCATGTAGTAAAACCAGGAGACCACGTGGAAGAGTTACATGTGAAGTGCCAGATAAGTGGATAGAGAAGACATTTTAGCCTTTCAGCCCAGATCAGCTGTGTCAGATAACTCCAGATCCAGCCAATATCTGACTGCACCTGGATGACAGGCATCTAAAGCAACAATCACCTAACCGAGCCCAGTCAATTCATAGAACCCTTACATATAATAATACATTGTTGGCTTAAGACACAACATTTTGAGTTGGTTTATCACACAGCAATAAATAGGTCACCACATTTGGCAGACATGAAGACATGCCTCCAACTAGAGGAAGCTTAATTGGTCAGGGGCCCCAAACTGCTGCCTCTGAAATACACTATCATGTTTGCATCAAGACTAAGCTTCCCAATGGCTAGATATGGCAGGGGTATTAAGCAGATCCATTCCTGGGAAGCACAGCACCCCCCAGATGGATGACTTTGGCTTGAGGACTTTCCAGTGGACCACTGAACCTTCTGTAAACTGCATCCACTCAACCTTCCTTCTCTTCTTCACTCATGGTCAGACTTGCAATACAATCTCTCAGATATCCTGGTCTTGTGTGGTTCCCTCCTTTACTTTCACTCATGGACTTTTCCCTAATAAAATACTTGCATATTTAATTCTGTCTTGGCTTCTGCACGGAGGACATGGGTTAACCTACCCACACTTGCTTGACACACCCCTACCTCTGTCATCACCCCATTTCAATCTCTTTGAGTGGTGACTCTTTATCTACCTGAAGTCGAAGTGCTGACATGACCCAGGAATTAGTCTTTAGACTTCTCTTTTCCATACTCATTCCCTTGGAGATCTGGTTCGATCTTATGGCTTTATATACCATCTGTATATTGAAGACATTAACTCCACACTGAATATCTCATTCATTCAGATGTCTGATGGGAATCTCTCAAATTTAACATTTCCAAAACTAACATTTTCCCCAAAACTTGCTCCTCGTGCAGTTCATCTCAGTAAGGCAATCTTATCCTTCTAGTTACCGTGGCCATTCTTGGCTCACTCTCTCTCATCACTGCTGGTCATCACTAAAGACTGTCATCTATAACTTCTCTCTCTATATATATATACACGTGTATATATATGTGTGTGTGTATATATACACGTATATATGTATATGTATACACATATAAACATACATACACACACATATACATATATACACATATACACACAGACATACATATATATGTATATATCATCTATACATATATATACATGTGTATATATGTAATCTGACCACATCTTGCCACCTCCCTTGATCCACGCTAGTCCAGTGCATCAACATCTCTCACCTGAATTACTGCAGAAATCTCCAATCTCCTTTCCCTGCTTCTGCCCTACCTTCACCTTATTCTCAAAACAGCTGCCAGAGCAATCCTATTAAAAGCTGTCAGATCATATTTTTCTTCTGCCTCAAACCTCCATCTGCTCAAAAATCTTATCTCTGAGCAAAAGACAAAGTCCTCATTATGTATAAAACCCTCAAGACAGGGCCCCCAGTATCTCTCTGACTCATCCCCTCTCCTCTCCTTGCTTACTCTGTGCCAATCACAGTTTCCTTGATGTATCTGGGACCACTTGGCTTGCACCAACTTCAGAGGGTCTCTGCATTGGTTCCCTTGCAGGGAACCTTCTTCCCCTCACTTCTCTCCAGTTTTTATCTAAATGTCAACTTCTCAACTAGACCTTCTCTGGCCACTCTCTCTAACTGTAATAACCTTTCCCTAGGACACTTTGTATTTCCCACTCCCTATTTTTTCTCCTTAGCAGTTGTTACTATCTAATATTAATTTGTATTTTGCTTGCTTGTCAGTTGTCTCCCCCATGATAATGCACACTCAGTGAAGGAAGAGATATTTGTCTGTTTCATTCTCTGCTGTTTTTCAGCACCTAGAATCCCGTCTGTTACACAGAAGATGTTCAACAGATATTCATTGAATTGATAACTTTTCTAAAATAAAGTAGCATGAGAGCCAAATTTTACTGTCTGGCATATATAAAAATTTCAGTAAATATTCATTAAATTAATTAATGAATTATTTTCCTAAGATGACTTTTAAGAAATGTACATGAGCCAATTTCATTGCAGTGAACAAGAGACACAAAATGCTGTTTGCTTCACTGCAATTACACAGAGTATCATTCTGTAGGTGAATCATAAGCACCATAAAGATTTGGAATCTTTTCATAATGTAGATATTTTCAAAATAATAGTATATTTCTTGACCCTCACATGTAATTTCTGTTGGTCAGTGATTGATTTGATTTCCTATCCTTGACTGCTAATTATAGTAGAATCTAGTTAAGGCAAAACCAAAGGGAAAATTCCCTACTTTATTTCTTGGAAGAAGAATGCAACTGCAACTTAATTTGTTTTTTGGTGAAAATCATTTATTCAGGTAGAATGTGCAGATTTCAAATAAAGGAGAGAAAGGAAGAAAGGTCACGCCTAAAAATTCAAAACTTCTCCCAACTCCTTTGGATGAAGAACAACTTTAGTCACTTGAGCCCTATAGTTTTTGGTGCCCCAAATTCCCCACCTCCTCTTCCCTCTCCTCTTGCCATATATTTAAAACAGCCAAATGCAAAGAAACTCTCCATATTTTCACAAGGGGAAGAAGCTGTGCATTCCTTTTACTGTATTCTGGAATATTTTTAGCAGATCTAAAGAACGGTTTTAGACAATAGCAAAATATGGCTCTTTGAGAACTAGTTATTTAAACCCCTGCTGAATGTATCCTGACAAAAATTAGGGAGTTTTATTAATTAGATAGCCTGAGGAGAGAATTAAATCTTGAGTCACCACCCTGTGTGACAAAATAAGTTGAAATCTTCAAACTTAGCCTTATAATTAGAGGTTCCCAGTGAGAGAGACAGAGTAGTTGCTATTCACATAGAACCTGGCTGGCAGCATGCATTAGTTAGAGAAAACTGCAGCAGCAAGTCCAGAAGGACAAATAAAAAATGGGTGGCATTGAAAATGTTGTGTGCCTGACTTCGATCTCCAAGAAACCAAAGCAGTAAGTTGAAATTTGCTTTGAAAAGCAGAGGCCTGTGACATTGTCTTCCCAATTTATACTGAAGCAGTCATGGCATTATCTGCATAAAGGTTAAAAAAGGAAAAGTTTAATTGCCCCACCACTTTCTGAAGGATAAAAAGGTAGGGATGAGAAATCAATAGAATTATTTCCCAAGCCCAGCAGGCAATATTTTTATCTGATAATTTGTACTGGAGACCTGGTGAATTCCATGCAACTTCAAATATTCTCTAAAATAGAGTGCCACATTATATCTCCCATAAACGAGAATGCTTACTTTTCAAATATATGACATTTTTCAAATCATTTGCATTTTAAAGGTCTAAGGAATTTTAATCACTGATCAGTTTTAACCCACGTTTCCTGCACGCATGCACAAGCGTACACCCTCGACTTTGCCATCCTCATAAAAATTGTCTCTTAAGCTCTTACTTTCATGTGTTTTTAAAATGGCTCAGCTCCCCCGCAGCTCTCATCAGCCTGCCTTCCCAAGTGGTCCCCTGCCTGGGAAGATGAAAGGCCCTCTTCACCTCAGCCAGGGCTTCTGTTTCTGCTTTTACACTGATGGAAAATAACTTAAAGATGGGAAAGTAACTGAGGATCACAGGCTGACCTTGAGCTGTGTGATGCATTTCCTCTCAGGGGCTTTTTCACCACTCACATGGTCTTCATTCCCAATTGAAAAAGGCACCTACCTCATACTCAGATTTCTTTAATAAATTTTGCTGGTTCATATCTGACCATTCATTCTAAGATATGAGAAACCAAAATATTTCATGGCGTATTCATTTTACCCTAATTACATTATGAGTTTCCTGAGGATGGGAATTAAATCCTTTATTTTATTTCTCAAAGGCAGTATGTTGTAGTTAGGAGTACAGACTCTGGAGTCAGGCTGTCTAGTCAAATCCCAGCTCTCTTTTTTATCAGCAGTGTAACCTTGAGCAAGTTACCTAACCATTCTGTATCCTGTGTCTTCATCTATAAAATGGCAATAATATTATTACCTACCTCCAAGGGTTGTTGTAAATATTAAATAAGTATATGTAAAATATTCTATGAATGTAACCTATTTTTATTTTATATTTCCTTTTACTAACATAGAAGCAGACTTACAGTTAGGGATCTTGGTGACATTTAATACCTCCAAGATTAAAAAACACGTAAGTTCTGTGAAATCTACTAGGTAATTTGTACTGGTCATTTTGACAATTACTAAAACCATTTCATGTCCAGAGCAAATATTCAATAGACTCAACTTCTGGACATCCATTAGCTAGTGTTTAAAGTTGCAAGGCTGATTTCCTTATGAATGAAGAAATGGTGCTCTTGTCAACACATTCAGACAATACATCTCTCAAATAATATGCAGTCAATAATATTTAAGTGATTCTCATGGTATTATGTAAGATCACCACCAATAAGCTTTCACTGGGTGATGATTGTGTGCTGGGCACTGAGCCAGATGCTGAGGACAGAGAGAAAGCCAAGACACAGTACTTTTTTATTTATTTTTGAGACAGAGTCTCACACTGTCACCCAGGCTGGAGTGCGGTGGTGTGATCTCGTTTCACTGCAACCTCTGCCTCCTGGGTTCAAGCGAGTCTCCTGCCTCAGCCTCCCAGGTAGCTGAGATTACAGGCACCTGCCACCACACCCAGCGAGTTTTTATTTTTGTATTTTTAGTAGAGACGGGGTTTCTCCATGTTAGCCAGGCTGGTCTTGAACTTCTGACTTCGTGGTTCACCTGCCTCGGCCTCCCAAAGTGCTGGGATTACAGGCATGAGCCACCACGCCCGGACTGACATGGTCCTTTATAATAAGATTGAGATCTAGCAGGAATGACAGAGTACCTTCAACAAGAGATGAGTAAAAGTAGTTAGCAACATAAGGTCAGTATAAAATAAGTGGAGCAGGCCTGGCATGGTGGCTCACACCTGTAATCCCAGCACTTTGGGAGAACGAGGCAGGTGGATCACCTGAGGTCGGGAGTTCAAGACCAGCCTATCCAACATAGTGAAATCCCATCTCTACTAAAAATACAAAATTAGCCGGGCATGGTGGCATGCACCTGTGATCCCAGCTACTTGGGAGGCTGAGGCAGAAGAATCACTTGAACTCCAGAGGCGGAGGTTGCAGGGAGCCAAGATCATGCCATTGCACTCCAGCCTGGGCAACAAGAGTGAAACTCCATCTCAATAAATAAATAAATAAATAAATAAATAAATAAATAAATAAATAAATAAAGTAAAATAAAATAAAAAATTAAAAATAAAATAAGTGGAGCAGATAATCATGCTCTAGCAATTAAAAGAACAACAGGTTTTTCTGGATTTGGGCCACTAGATAGCACAAGGTGTTGTCAGTGGGTAAAGTGACAAAATAGTTTTAATATGGGAAAATGTAAGATTACTCATCAAGGATTAAATAAAAATTACACTTGTAAAATTTTAAAATTATGATTTACAAGAAGGTATGTTTGACCTATTAATTTCTTATAAGAAAATCATCTAAAATGCGTTGAAGACCATTTACTGAAGGCATTAACTTGACAATCAAGAAGGCTAAGAGATGAGTATAGTAAGGGTGAATATCAGACAGAAATCCTTAACAACTCCTTGTCCACACCAGCTTTAGCCTCACCGGAACTGTCTCATGAATTTATTGTCATTTTATCTCCAGGAAGAGAGTCATTCTGGAAAAGCCTTACAGATTTACTCATCACAGCTACTGGCACATAACACAGATGGATTTTCTCTCCCCCAAAATTCAGTGTGTAATAAATACAAGGTATTTTTTGAAATTTAAAAGACATAAATATAGGTCAAATAAAAAGAACTTACAAAAGCACACAGTAAATGTATATATCTCATTACTTTATAAAGTAGATGTGTTGAAAATGTATATGAAACTTTAATAGGATTTAATATAATCTAAAAAACATATTAAAGAAAACAAGAATGTTTTCACTACACTTCACTACATGTGTCACTACATTTCTGAGATTGCTATAATGGTAAAAAAAATTATGTTCCAATTCTCTCAAAACAGAAAGTATGCTATGTTACAAAGAACACTAAAGTCAGAAGAGCTGTACTCAAATTTCATTCGGCCACCTACTTACCTTTATGATGTTGACCAAGTTACATCCTTATAAATCTAAATTTTCCTCATCTGTGAAATAAGGATAGTAAGACTTTCCTTAGAGAATTGTTGAATAATAAATATAACACACTTGAAAGTATATTAACCACAAATTGACGTTTATACATAAGGTGTGAAATAATATCCTCTATACCACTGAGATGTAGAATATCAGGATGACACAATATTACATTGATGGTTCTTGAGTTCAGTGTCTGAAGTTTCCATTTATCAGCTTTCCAATTTGCAGTCTTTTAAGAATATACTTACTTTATGCCACTAGGCATCTCTTCTGTGGGTACCTTAGTACAGTTACCTTTTATTCTTAGAATGTGGAGCTAGATTGTAAGGTAGGTGGGTATGGTGGTTAATTTTATATGTCAGCATGACTGACCGCTGCATGTCCGGATTAAACATTTCTGGATGTGTCTGTGAGCATGCTTCTGGACATGATTAGCATTCGACTCAGTGGGCTCAGTAAAGTAGATTGCCCTCCCAAATGTGGGTGGGCATCATCCAATGAATCCACTGAGGGCCTGAATTGAACAAAAGACTTGAGCTGGGACATCTCATCATCATCTCATCATCTCATAGACCCTCGGACTGAGATGTATGTCATCATCTCCCTTAGTTATCAGGCCTTTGAACTTGGACTGAATGACACCACTGGCTTTCCTGAGTCACCAGCTTGCAGATGGCAGATCATGGGACTTCTCAGCCTCCATAATTACGTGAGCCAATTCCTCATAATAAATGTTTCCCTGGATAACCCTAATACAGAGGGGAAAATGTGAGGATTCTGATGGCTTTAAAAAATGCCTGAGGAGGCTGGGCGTGGTGGCTCACGCCTGTAATCCCAGCACTTTGGGAGGCCGAGGCAGGCAGATCACGAGGTCAGGAGATCGAGACCATCCTGGCTAACACAGTGAAACCCCGTCTCTACTAAAAATACAAAAAATTAGCCAGGTGAGGTGGCGGGTGCCTGTAGTCCCAGCTACGCGGGAGGCTGAGGCAGGAGAATGACGTGAACCCCGGGGGGCGGAGCCTGCAGTGAGCCGAGATCGCGCCACTGCACTCCAGTCTGGGCGACAGAGCGAGGCTCCGTCTCAAAAAAAAAAAAAAAAAAAAAAAAGGCCTGAGGATATTAGAATTCCTAAAAACCCTGAGATGAGTGATACAATGGGGTGGTATAAAGTTTACTGAATGAGCACTTCGTTTTCACGGCTAAGAAGATCTGCCAGGGTCCTGGTGATGGAGTGAGCTGCTCAGAAGTGCTGGCTTCTGGAGAAGTGCAACGCACTAGTAGGTTTTTTTCTTCAAGATTACATTAAAACTATAATATCTAATATTTAAAAGGAGAAGCCTACATTTTAGTGAATTCAGAATTATTGACCCCCCGGGTCACCTCATTCAAACTGCCATAAGAGCCTTCAGGAGTCTGGCTTTATTGACAAACAGACAAATGAAAACAGCTCTGCTGTAAACTACTTACTGGTTTTCCAGAGAAAGTTCCAAATGATCTCGGATAATGTCACTCCTCTCCTCAAAATCCTTGGGTGGAGCAGTTCTCGACCTTGGCCAAGATTAGATTCACCTGTGAAGCCTTCGAAAGTCCTGCTGCTTAGGCCATATTTCAGAACAATTAAGTTAGAATCTCTGGGGGTAGGACTCAGGCCTTAGTGTTTTTATAGCTCCCCAGATGATTCCAATGGTAGCCAAGGTTGAAAACCACTACTGTAATAGTTTTCCATTCCCAGGTGACTCGAATCCAAGCTCCTTAGCTTGGCATTTACATCTTGCCACAGCTTGCTCTCATCTATGGTTTCAGCCTCATTTCCTACACTTGCAGAAAGACTAACTAGTCTTTCTTTTCGCGCATTGCTCACCTGCTGATGAGGTAGATCCCCGTGTTTACTTCCACTTATCTCACCTCTGCTTATTCAAATTACATTCATCTTTCAATACCCAGATCAACTGGTAGTACTTTCAAGGAGCTTTTCTGATCCCCCAGTGTGGTGGTTTTCAACATGCCTGCAAATTCTTTCCTACTACTCCCAAAAAAGGTGGAGTCTAATTCTCTTCCCTTTAAACATGGGCTAGCCTTAGTGAATTGATGCTAAAGAATAGAATGTGGTAGATGTTACTATAAAGTCATACTATAAAGAAAGGCTGCATGAAGTCATACAGCTTTCGCTAGGCACTCTCTCCAGACACACGCCAAGATGGAGGAAACAGGTGAAGAGCACACAAAAAGACAGGGTGAGATGCCTGAGGAGCCTCAGCGATTCCAGCCCACCAGCCCTTTGAACCTAGTCACCCTCAACTGCCAGACATGCAAACAAACAAGACTTCAGATGACTCCAGACCTCAGACTTTGAGTCATCCAGCTGAGGCCCCAGACATCACGAACCAGAGACAAACTGTACCTGCTGTACCCTGTCGTCATTCCTGAGCCACAGAATAGTAAGTGGGTATTGCATACCACTAAGTCTTGGGAAAGCTTGTAACACAGTCTTAATAATGAAAACTCTCATTTTTCTTTTATCTCTGTCTTGCATTTGGTACTTAACCTATTCTTTCACTGTTGTCATTACTAAACATACCCTATCTCCCATCCTAGATCACTAGGTCTTTGATGGCAGAACCTACAGCTTATTGATTTTTGTATCTTCCACAATGCCTTGCCCTAAAATGTGCTCAAAATTTGAGTGAATTTGTAAATTCCAGCATAGACAAGAATTAGCCCTGTGAAAGCATCATTCTACTTTTGTCTGTCTCCAAATTCCTGGCTATAATTGTCAACTGAATTCACCTGCTTTAATTAAATTAAAAGCATCTTGTTACATTGAGATAATACAAAGACTACAAAAGGAAATGTTGAGACTAACAATGTACAAGGCAATGATAGTGACATATAACTAATAAAATACAATTATATATAAGTTCAAATAATATGCATTATGGATCTAGCGTTAACTTTTCTAACCTTTGCTCTCCTAGGAACTGATGACATTTGCAGTTCTGTGGCTAAGGGGAATGTTTCTGACTGTGTCTGGTTGCATCTTCTTCTTGTCTTGGGCTGGATGTGATGTGTCCCTCTGCACGTAGCATCTATGTCCTGCTTTGCCTCTGCTGGAATGTTTGTTCTTTGTAAGTGTTTTGTTTCATTTTTGTTTTTCTGTTTTGTCAAATGCAGAGTTATTTGTTTTAAAAGGCAATGTGACATGGTAGGGAAGGCTGCACTCCCTGGGTTGAAATCTGGGGTTGAAGTTCCATTGGCTGATCTGCCTTGGGCAAACACCTGCACACTTATTATAGTCAGCTCCTTAACTGTAAGGAGGGAGGGGAATTCCTATCTTACAGGATTGTTAAGCGAAATAAATGAGATTAAATACATACAGTGACTTGGTAGTGATGAGCACATAGTAGGCATTAGGTATCTTATCAATTCCCTTCAGTTTTTAAGGAGAAATTACCTTAGATTTAGGATTTGTGTCAACTTTATGTACGAGGAAATTCACTTTTCTCCAACATACTCCAAAAAATGGTGGCTGTACCTATGGCTTTGAAAAGGCTTTGATTGGTCTATTTCTTTTTTTCTGATTTCTTTCTCCCTCTCTGATCTGCCTGTCTCTTGCTGAGATGAACTAAGACAAAGTATTATTTCAGCCCCAGATATGTTGCCATGAAGAGAGACGTTTTGAGGTAGGTGTAATCTAAAAAATGCTACCCTACTGAGCTGACATCTTTTGGTTCCATGATACTTCCTATGTTACCATTCTAAACATTCCCCTGGCTGTAGTTTTTAGAGTAGAGATTAGCTATATATCAATTTTACTACTACTATGTATAGATTGCAAATCAATTTGAAAAAGTATAGGCCCAAGAGATTATTAATATCAGCTCTCTCCCTAACCATTTTTCTTCACTTAGAGTTATCATATTTGCCCACCCATCTTCCTCTCCTCATCATTAATTCCCAAAGTCTGGTCAAGTGTTACAGTGACATACCTCTCAAATCTTTCCATTCTTCCTACCCTCCTACCACTAACATGATAAAGTCTAGACCCATGCATCTCAAACTTTAATATGAATTTGAATCACTAGATGAACTTATTAAAATGCAGAATCTGACTCATCAGGTCTGGCTATGGTCCAAGATTCTACGTTTCTAACAAGTTCCAGGGCGATTCAAATGATGCTCTTGTTCTAGGACCACATTTTGGGTTACTAAAATCTAGATTACAGCAGTAACCTCATTCATGGGCTCCCTGACTCCACCCTTGCCTATATCATTCTTGACAGTAACAACAAAGTAAGAAATTAAAATATAAGTTTGATAACATCTCTTTCTTACCCCCAGTTCCAGCTCCACCCATGCTACCATTCTTTTCAATGGACCCCTATAATTGTCAAGATGAAGTCAAAACTCCTTAGCATTGCTTATGAGGCTTTGCAAGTCTTCATTCTTGCTTGCCTCTCTAGCCCCATTTTGCTCTATTTCTTCATTCAACAAACATTTGAAGAAATGCTGCTATGACAGACCCAGAACTCAGTTCCTACTTGTCTAAGGGCCAGCCACAGCCAAGAGCTTGCAATGCCCCAGCAGATTTTTCCTGCTTCTAAAACTTTTCAGGTGCTGCTCTCTTTGTTTGGAATATGCCCATCCCTCCCCTGCTCCCCTGTCCCAACCTTTCTAATTAAAGCCTCCTTATCATTTAGGACCACACATGGGGAGGACCTCTTCTGAAGACTCCCTCTACCCCCATTTAAATGCCCCCTCTGCATGAAATCTATTCATAACTTCTATTTTGCACAGTGTCTGGACAAAGTAGGAGCTCTGAAACCACTTGACTTAATAAATATTAATATCATTTAGGGTATTGTACTGTAATGCGCTGCGTATCTGACTATTTCCCCATAGTAAACTTCTTGAGAACAGAAACCATTAGTTTTATCTCTATTGGTGCCAAGACAACTCCTTAATATTTATTGAACACATGAATGAATGTGTGCATACACGAATGAATTAGAGGATGACATAACTTATAGACATAAGCAAAGTTATATATGGATTAAAATGTTTAGCATGAGAAACTAATAAATGCCAAGGCTCAGGAATGGGCTTAATAAGAAGGAAAGATTGGAAATAAGCTGAAAATAAGGAGAAAAGATTGGTGTTTAGGTTTCTAGGTTTTGGAGGGGGAATAAGAAAGGTTGCTATAGGTAAAATTCCTTGTTATTTAGGTTTGGTAGAAGTTAGATGCAAGCGCAACCATACGGGAACAAACACTCTTGAACAAAGCAAAGAGACCCTACAGTTGCAAATTCAGCCAAAATCAGTTTTCACAACTACCCAGATGTTCTGCTAATGTTTAAAAAATTCTCCAGTTTTAAAGTATTCACAACCTAGTAGAGGGGATAGCCAAATATGTTATCAATTAGGGAGTGTTTCAAAGGGAAGACCAAAGAGATATAATTTGAGCATGTCTTTCATTGAGCCATAATAATAATAAACACACTCCCAGATATTTGTACTTTCCTCTCATTCTTCACATATTATGTATTGAGTATTTCTATGGGCAGGTTCTACATTGCAGAAAAGATATTTTCTGGTGAATGCATGACATAAAAAACAAAAAGCAAACACACACATACACACACACACACCCACACACACACACCCACACACATATGACAGATCAGCCCTTGCTTTCCTGGTGGTTTAAACTGACAACAAACATGGCAGAACAGAGAGCTGTAAGTGCCACAGTAGTGTTAGGGGCACACTCCAGTGGGGCACAGATAAGGACATCTCATTAGACAGGGCTTCAGGAAATGCTTCCTGCAGTCCTTGCCACAAAACGAAATAAAACAACTGTTAACATTTAAAATGAAATGAAATCAACCAACCAACACAAATCCAAACTCACCAACCAACCAAACAAGAAATCCAAAAACTGTTTATAAAGAATCTTCAAAGTTATTAAACCAGAGATGGGATTCTTCTTCATAGTCCTTCCCTTTTTCCCTCTCTCATGTTTTTAGCCTTCTTGAATTTTTTTTCTCTCCTGCCCCCTCATCTTTGCTCTTCCCTCCTCACACCTCCTCTCCCCACTTCCAGTCTCTACTTCCCGCAAGTAACTAATGTAAGGTGGTGGGTGTGGATGAAGTTGGGTTAAATCCCCTCCAGGGGTGGATTGTGTGAGAGGACGAACTGTGGGCTCTGATTCCCAGGAATCTGGTGGGGACAGAAATTCCGATCTGGTCCCAGCAGCCACCAAGTGCCAATCTTTTCCTTCCCAGTTTGGATTTGGGGCCTTGGTACTTGAAAGATAAGCAAGTCCAGCGTTTGATAGGAAATCACCCAGGGTGGCGAAGGTGGGCAGGTCTAGGAGGCCCCAATCCCATGAGTCGCCAGGACCCAGGCACTGAGCCACCATCTGGGCTGTCTTTGTAAGCAGATAAGAAAAGTCTGCACCTTCCTAGTTCAACCACGGAGCTTCTATTTTTAAACATTTATATATTTTTATTTTATTTTGTAAAAGTTTTATAAATTTTAGTATTTTAAGTCTTTGGTTTCTGAGATCAAGAAAAATAAGATAGATTCTGAATTTTAAAAGTAATAAAGTATTATCTAAATAAAGACCAGATGGCTTTGTCATGTGGTTCTACTACGGTATACCCCAAGAGTAACTTGTATATGAGACCTTAGGTGGTCATCAATCATGACAGAGAGATTTTAAAGGTTCTCTATTGTCTCTGAACTCATTTACAGCAGAGTCAAAAGAAGGGTGAATTAAATGCTTTCTGTACACATATAAATATAAATAGAAACTATTGTAGAGTTTCTATCTTACAGAATGTCATACAGGGGAACATTTCATTTCTAGATTCTCTTATAACTGGTGATTGTTAGTATAAGGAATACTCTTGGGAAAGCTTTTTCTCTTTTTGTATAGAATACTCATAGAATATGGAAAAGAGTCCAATCAATAACATAAAGTTGAACTGCCAAGACAGAGTATTTAGAGTAAGAAGAGAGGAACTGCCAAAGATATAAAGATGGGAAATCCACAGGTGGGCTCTGATGAGGAACTTGTGAATGTAAGCAGTAGGAATAGTCAGGGAGGGAGGAGAGAACCAGAAATTGGTGCCATATAACTCAGGGAGAAGAAAGTTTTAAGGAAAATGAGCAGAGCCTCAAATTCTGTATTTTCAAAACATTAACTCATGAAATTACCTCTTAAAATTCACTGCTTGGAATTCAAGGATTGTCTACACAGGAATGACTCTCCAAGATTTAAAAAATTTTGAAGTTTGGACGTTCTTCCAAAAATTACAATTTAGAAAGATTATAGCAAAATAGAAATAAAGGAAATGGTCAGGGCAATTAGCCTGACCAGTGTGAATTTGTCTCTTGTTAATACAACATGATTGTAAGTTTTAGGCCAGTCTTTGTCAAGGTTTTATGTTGGATTGCCAAACATCCTCTCCTCAAAGTTTTCTTTCTTTTATTTATTTATTTTTTTGAAGACAGGGTCTTTCTATATTCTCCAGGCTGGAGTGTAGTGGCTAGTCACAGGCATAATTATAGCACACTACAGCCTTAAACTCCTGGGCTCAAGGAATCGTCCTGCCTCAGCCTATCAAGCAGCTGGTCTGTAGGTATGCACCATCATGTCTGGCTAAAGTTTCATTTTAATCTCCTCCAAATAAAGAAGCTCTTCAGAACTTTCTGAGTCTCATGTCTATCATGTCTAGTAAGCAGGCTGGTGAGGAAAGCAGCAGCTTTCAAAGAGTGGGCAAGAAGAACCAATAGCATTTCATTTTTCCCTTTAGGTCTGTTCCCTTTTCTCCAGCTACAATTACTCTCCCTGAGACCCTGAGGCCCACTGAGGGTGTTTACCATGTTGCTCTATGTTAGGGACGACAGTTTTTTGTTTTGTTTTGTTTTGTTTTTTGAGATGGAGTCTCACTCTGTCACCCAGGTTGGAGTGCAGTGGCATGATCTTGGCTCACTGCAACTTCTGCCTCCTGGGTTCAAGCAATTCTCCTGCCTCAGCCTCTGGAGTAGTCCAGATTACAGGTGCCCACCACCACGCCTGGCTAATCCCCCTGCCACTAAGGCATTGCTTTTTTTTTTCTCAGTGAAGCTCAGGTATTAATTGGAAATGAATTTATCCTAATGGCTTAATATCTTTGCGGGCAACATTCTTCTTGATAAAGTGCTTACCCTGAACACAATTCTGCTAGCCACATTACATTGCTCAATCACTGAGTCAACTCATCTACATATATCGATATAAGTAAATCTCTGTACACATTTAGTTTCCAATATCACTACTAAGAGAATTACTGACAGCTTTCATCACAGCATGTGCTGACCCATGTAATAGCTACTTGTGATAATGGATTATGTAAACCAAATAACTTTTAAACTTTTCATTTGAGACTCACACATACTATAAGTCATTATTCAAAATGAACAAGGTCTATATTTTGTCTCATGGGAGCTTTGATTACCATCCATCTATTTGCATAAGTCTTTACAGATAACAAAATTATCCAGTTAGATGAAGCATTATTCCTTTAAGCGGTGTACTTCATTTTAACCATTTTCATTGTAAATTTACGAAAATAAGTTTCACATTGTCTATATTCCTAAATTAGAGGTAATATGGTGATCATTTAGGAATACCATTATAAATACCAGTAAAGCTCTGTGTATTAACATCCCTGGGAACATTTGCACCTATACAAACTGGCCTTAGACTGATGTGTTTTATATTATTAGATGTGATTTTTCACAGCATTTCTGTATTTTATTTTTCAGGTTGTCATCATCCCCCACTTTTCATTGTCACATGCTTGCCTGCATCAGCCCTTTGTTCTCTTTTCTATTTTGCCACCTCAACTCAATCATGAATTTAGATTACCAATCTTAATAGGATTGTGTGTGCATTAAATGTAAATAAATATTGTGTAAACAATTGGTGTAAAAGAAATACACAAACTTTGCTGCATGGACAGTGTGGTATTGAGGCTAGTTTCTCCCAGTCCTTTTTGCTTTCCTCCTGTGCCATGCATCTTCAGCTCTGTCCTGAGTGGGAGCAGAGGGTGACTTTAAGGGTGACTAACCTCCGAATGATTGAATAACTACTGAAGGTAGAACTTTAAGAGCCTGGTATCTGTTATCATTCAGAATGTTTCAGAGTCCCAAATGCCACTTAAGAAGCATTGATACAGAATAAGTTCCATGTATGGGAGATGGGACAGAATTAGCAAAGTACCATTAACCTTTTACAGTAGCAAAAGAAAAGTCATACCATGATTTATGTGAATTTAAATGCAAAAGTGGCTCAGTTCTTGTGATGCTATGATTTTCTGTGATATTCAGATGCTCCTTGGAAACTGTATGTCCAAGGGAAATCAAGAAAGAGAAAGAAAGAGACAGAGAGAGACAGAGCGAGAAAGGGAGAAAGAAACGTAACAATGCTGTCAGTAAAATCTGTAAGACATGCAAGACATGTATTCTCAACGGGAGTGAAAACTGGCTCTCTAGAGGAGATGAAAAATCTTATCATTTCAATGTAGAAAGTGCAGATATACATACAGTACATAAATAGATACACGGCATATCTGTGGTATTAAAATTTCATAGAAAGTGGCATTAGGAAAAAATGTTTAAATAAACTCAGGGGAATGATATGAAAAAGAAGTTGAGAAACACTGTTGTAAGACATGAAATATGAGACTAGCACCTCATAAAGAAGGATGTGGTGCTGGAAGACATGGGCAAGAGAAGCAGGACCTATAGGCATCCACATTTGCATGTTCACCAAATGGTCCTGTCTTCCTCCCCAGCTTCCTTTCACTCAGTCACCTGCACAGCACCTTTTGTGCTAGCTGAACCACCTGCATTTCCCCAAGGTGGCATTCTGCTTCTTGCTGCCGAGCCTTTTCACATGCTGGTCCTTTGACCTAGGATTATCTTCTCTCCCTTTCTCACCTGCTAACCCATTCTTAAAGATGCAACTCAAGCATCATCTCATGCTGGAAACTTTCTAGAGGTGTGCAAAACAATAATAACAAAAAACAAGCGAAACCAAAGGAAGAAGCATAGGTTGATAACAGGCATATTGTGTCATTTAAAGCTGCTGACTTTGAGCAGAGACTTGAATGAAGTGAGGAAGACAGCTATATGAATATTTATAGGATAAATGTTCCACATTAGAAAAAAATGCCCTGAAAGCAAAGCAAGTTTGTCAGGCTCATGAAGGAGCTCAGTGTAGCTGAAGCCAGCAACAGAGAAGGAAATTTACAGGAAATTAGGTTGGAGAGGTAAGGAAGTGTCATACTGTATAGGGCATTGCGGTGTTAGGAATTTTCTACCCAGTGTGGTGGAAAATTATTGGAGTATCGAGAGCAGGGTGTATCATGGGCTGATTTGTGGATTTAGAGGCTCCTGTTGGCTGCTGTATGAAAAATTGATTGTACAGGCACAAAAATCAAAGCAGGGAGGCCAGTTAGAAGTCTAATGAAATAGTGTAGTGAAAATGATGATCACTTAGACTGGCATGCTAGCAACCAACTAGGCAAGAAATAGCCTAGAATTCTATGTGTCCCTCCATTCACTGGACACAGAAAACAACTCCCCAGATTGCAAGTTCAAATACACAACTGCTAGAAACCTTGTCCAACTACCCCGGGTTGATTAGCATCTTCCTTCTCAGGACTATGAAAACTCTTTGTATATTCTTTCATTATTGCACTTTCCTCATTCAATTGTAGTAACTTATGTACCATCTGTCTACACCATGTTACCAGCTTGTTGAGTATTTTGTATTTAGTCATCTTGGCATCTGTAAGGCCCAAGACAGTATGAGGCGCATGGTAAAAATAGTCAACATCAACAAGTGTTTACAATTTTCTGAGCATTTTATAAGTGTTGTTTCATTTGATACAACAAGGCAATGAAGCAGGTACTCTTACTATCGCATTTTCAAATGAGGAAATGGAGGCACTGGGAATTTAAGTGACTTGTCTAAGTCCATACAACTAGTAGAAAATGGTGGCAGCAGTCCTCAATCTCATCTCTCTAAAGATAGAGACTTCACTTTTAACCATTTTCCAATTCTGCCATAATAAATGTTTTGTTCTTGAACCTCAGAGAGAGATCCTGATTTAGTATGAAATTAAAATTAGCTTGAGTAGAATTATCAGTAGTTATACAAAAATCTACTTCAGGCCTTAGTGACACATCCAGTGTCTCTATACCATAATTTTTCTGGTTTAAGAGACACTGGTTTGGGTTAAAATTCTCTGAGGCTGAGGCTCACAGGAGTACACTTCTGGGGTAGTTTGGTCTCAGCAGGCCTTCATGATGCCTCAGAGTACAGCACACTGTTTATTACATTTAACTAAAGTTTGCTGTCCTTCATCCATTGCTGAAACTGCTACAGACCTACTATTAGTTTAATTTTTAAAAATCTGGCTTATTTTCCTAATCATAGTGATATCTGTACCCTTCTATTCACCCAAGTGTCCTTTGAAATGATCACTTGTGCTTTTAATAACTCACTAGATATGAACGAGGCACAAAGCACAACTCATTATTGGATACTGCCACCTCACACCATTTTTGGAACAAGACAAGGTGTAAATGAATAAACAAGTAACCAACCAAACCCACGACTTTGGCTTCGCTGTCACAATGTGCTGACTAAACTTAGTAACTGCCGATGTGAAAACATGTTCCCAAACCAAATGCATGGGAAGAACCACCACTACCACCTGTGCTCAATCAAGAGAAGCGGGAGGATTTTCTAAGCAGGTCAATTGCCTTTCTATCTTCAGATTGACAGAACACAGTTAAAATTATTAACATAATGTGTCTCTTCATTCCTTTCTACTGTGAAAGAGATGGGTGTTTCTTGTTTTCATCCCTTTGTTCCTTTCCTTTGCTGACATTGGATGTTGGGCTTCTATAGAAAACTGGGCAAAAGAGGTGCATTGCGTTTCTCTTTTGGCTTACACTATGCTGCAAAGGCAGTCTTGTTCTCTTTACCTCTATTTTTCCCACCCACTCCTCACTTGTGATTTCAGAAAGCCTGCTGTCTTTAAATCTAATCAAGCCTTCTGGAATTATTCCCAACCTCTGTGACAAACATTAAAATACAAATATTAGCAGGGAAACTGTAATTTTTAGGTCCTCAGAATTAGAGGGCTGGTGTTTACAGTCTTTATCATCCTTTCAACACACTCCAAAGACATCCTTGGCTTTAAAGACAATGCTGTGTTTGCAGATCCCAGAGGTAGAAGGTAGCTGAGTTACTCTGAAAACGAAGAAAAGCACCCTCACCAGGGCCAATGTTCCACAGCTTTTTATAAGCATTGCTTTTTGAAAGTGGGATCTTGTGGGATCTCATATTTGCATCTTGTAACTTTTTTTTTCCTAACAATCAGGCTACTTTTGGCCAGAGAGACATAAAAACGAACAGAATAAAAGAAAGAACAGAGCCTAAGCTGGAAATGTACCTACTCACAGCGGGAGCCAGCAGAGCTGGTCTTGGGCATGTTGGGACATTGGTGAAAGCATAGCACTCAGCTCCACTGGCTTCTCTTTTTAAAAGGTGCCCTCCTTCATCTTCCTCACTCCAGGGATAACTCCTTCCCATTCCCTAGGATTTCTTGTGTCCCTAACAAAACCTCTTTACAGAGTCAATAGAAAGTGTGATGATGTGGTATATTGGAAACAGTACTCAATGTACAAACAACTAATTCCTGGCCTCAATTTCATCATTTATTAGCAATTTGACTTAGGGCAAGTGGTTCAACTCTGACTCTTCTTAGTTTCCTCATCTATAAAATGGGATCCAAACTCAGTTCACTTCACAAACTTATTTTTAGGATCCAGTAAGAAAACATACAGGTGTATTCTATAAAATCTAAACATTGTACAAATATAAGGCATGATTCATTTCTGTTTTATGTCTTGCACATGGTGCTTAGTGGATACTGATGATTGCTAAATGAAAGCTTGTCATTTGACAAATGTTATCATTCTACGAATGATTTATAATTCCACAGGAGTAAATCTGACATATTTGGAAAGGGAAATATACTAAAGTCATTCTTTTTGCAGTCAGTTGAATAATCAGATTTGATCATTAATATCAATTATTAGGTAACAAGGGGCTGGTACACTTTGGGTAACTGCAAACAGTAGACCATTCTGGCCATTTTAATTGAAATGATGCTGAAGTCACTTATGGTTCTATTACCAAATGGTTCCAACCTCTTATGGGTTCCATTCCTTACCAGAAATGCTGGAAAGTAAAACAAAACAACAAATTATATTCTGAGATCCCCTTGAAATTGGGCAGGTGTGTAGCTTAATTTGGCAATCAGATGAACCCACAGTGAGATTTGGACATAGAAGTGAGTGCATGAGAGAATGGACATGGGCCTGGCAGCAAGTACAGTGGTGAAGACATCTAGGTATTTCAGGGTTAGCCATGGCAGAGTTTTAGCCTCCAGTTACTTGATTTGCTTGGGTCTAAATTTTGAAATGACTAAGAAATCACTGCCTTTATTGGAGGCTACCTAGAAATGACTAGATTATATCTTCCTCAACTCTAACTGGAAATAAGAGTCAGATATTATAGCAAGCAATGAAAAAAGTAAAATTATATTTTTGCTCAACAAAGCTTGTGAGTATGAAAATCTTGTTACATCATCTGTCTTGAAGATGGCTGCAGATCAATACATGTAGATTAATGACATTTTTTAGCTGGCTGTATAATGTATCCACACTTTTTTCTTCCTACTTAGGCACCTCCATTTTTCATTGAAAACTTGGAAAGAATCATTTTTAGAAGCTGCACAAGATTTCATTGTATGTATACACCATGATTTATGGATCTACAGCTCCATTTTTACACATTTCTGTAACACATTTTGTACTATACTAAAAACGCTGTACTAAAAATACTTTTGACATTTTGAATTATTTCCTACAAAATATTCATAATTAAATTTTATGTTAATGCTTTTGATCACTTCCATATTCTATAAGACTTCAATTTTTTAAGAAAAGCTGTCTAAAGAATATTCCTTATACTAACAATCCATTTACAAAAACAAATTAGAAATGAAGCATTCCACCTTTATAGCATTGTCTAATATTTTATATTTATATTTTACAATAGTTTATAATTCTCCAGAAAACCTTTTGTTTACCATTTGTTCAACTTTGCTGTAAATGAGTTCAGAGAGAATAGAAAATCTGTAAACTTTCTCCTTGCTAGCTGCCAGGAGCAGCTTAGGATTCTTACCCTCATGGGACAGAGTCCATAGTTGAGGTCTTGATTCGGAGTCTGCCCCCCACCCACCAACTCTCCCTTCTGAGAGGCTACACCCCAAAATTAGTTGGTTGTGGGAATTAGACATTGAAGGATAGGAAGGTCTGCAGGGGAGGAAGGGAAGGAAGGAGAGGAGAATTCAGGAGAAAGAGAGAAGATGAGGGGGCAGGAGAGAAAACAGTGAAAAAGGTAAAGAGGTAGGAGAGGGGAGAAATAGGGAAGAGTTTAAAATAAGCTGCATCCAAATATTGTTCTCAGATTTGTTTAATTAATCCTATCAGAAATGCAAATCAAAGCCACAATAAGATATTATCTCATGCCAGTTAGAATGGCGATCATTAAAAAGTCCAGAAACAACAGATGCTGGAGAGGATATGGAGAAATAGGAACGCTTTTATACTGTTGGTGGGAGTGTAAATTAGTTCAACCATTGTGAAAGACAGTGTGGTGATTCCCCAGGGATTTAGGACCAGAAATACCATTTGACCCAGCAATCCCATTACTGGGTATATATACAAAGGATTATAAATCATTTTACTATAAAGACACATGCACACATATGTTTATTGTGGCACTGTTCACAATAGCAAAAACTTGGAACCAACCCAAATGCCTATCAATGATAGACTGGAAAAAGAATATATGGCACATATACACCATGGAATACTATGCAACCATAAAAAGGATGAGTTCATGTCCTTTGTAGGGACATAGATGCAGCTGGAAACCATCATTTTCAGCAAACTAAAACAAGAACAGAAAACCAAACACTGCATGTTCTCATTCATAGGTGGCAGTTGAACAATAAGAACACATGGACACAGGGAGGGGAACATCACACACCGGGGCCTGTTGGGGGATGGGGGACTAGGGGAGGGATAACATTAGGAGAAATAGCTAATGTAGATGACGGGTTGATGGGTGCAGCAAACACCACGGCACGTGTATACCTACGTAAAGAACCTGCACGTTCTGCACATGTATCCCAGAACTTAAGGTATAAAAAAAAAACCTTTCAGGGATTTTTGTTTGATTGGTTGGTTAGTTTCATTTTTGCTTGTTGTTTTGGTTCTTTTTTAATTAGAAGAGCTGTTTTATTTCCCTTTTGCTGCAAGGACTGCAATCTTTCTATCAACAGCAAACTGGAGATTTTCTTTCAGATGAAGCATTTCTGCACCTCTTCATCTTCGTTAGTTTCCCTGCAGGCAGGTGGAACGGCCATGCAGCTCTGGTTGTGCTCATGTCATCACTGTCATGTTGATAATCCACTCACTTGGCAAGTGTCTGACTAGACGTAGCAGCATTGTGGCCTAGCAGCTTCACTAAGCCATTACACAGATGCTAACTGGCTCTTCGGGCAGAGCAGTGGTCTAGACTTGCACACTGGGCCTTGGTTTCTCTTGTGCATGCATTGAATAATTAAGTGAATGTTCTTTGAAGTCAAGTTATAAATGGTTCAGAATTTGGGTTGTTTAAATCATGAAATATTTTGTATCACTTCAAAAATAAGAATACTGATGTTTTAATTTACAATAACATGAAATGTAAAAAATCATATAGGAATCAGTAGACAGAGGCCTTTTATTCCTGGAGCTGCACTGGATTTGGAAGTGTGGGTCTGTGAGGGAGAGAGGGGCCAATAGAAGAAGAAAGGGTGAAGAAATTTACTACTCTACTTTGCTGCCAAAAGAACCCCAGATATTGATACTTCCTTCAAAATCAGGACATGCTGACTTAATGAAACTGATTCATAAGCCACTCTTGGGCATTTAATTCTTCATACTATAGATATAATTCTATATGCAACGTTTTTATGTGCCAAAGGAGAAAATGCTCCTGCTTATTTTTTATGTGATATTTCCAATTAGGTCATTGTTAGAAGTGGCATGGAACTCTATTTTATTTTCTTATGGTCTGATACAACTTTAATATGTAAACAACATTGATACCATGAAGAAAGAAATGGCTGTCTTCTTTGTCAATGAAATATTAAAAATCTTGAATTGTGTAAGAGTTAGGACATAGAAAAGATTAAATGTTCAAAACAAACTCTAGGTCTTAAAGTACCAAAAAAAAAAAAAGGGAAATATTCATGGATTTAGCTCATACAAATATGTTTCAAACTCTGAACTTATAACATTGGTGAAATATACTTTCCATTGCTGTGTATGCCTTATAATTGATATTTTTTCCATTATAATATAAAACATCAAATCCTACAGTAACTCCTTGAATATGCTGTTCACAATTCTGGCTTTACCACTCAGAGCTTTGAGAACATTTTTGTAAGAATTACTCTTCCTAAGAATCAGAGTGACCTAACAGCTTGCACCATGCACTCCCAATCTGCTGCTGTTTGAATGTGTAAAAGATTAGATCGTTTCACTCCTCAAGTAATGAAATCATTATTTTCATCAATGGTCTTTTTTCATAGTAATTCTCTGCAAATATTCTGAAATGTTTGTGACTAATAATAAACTCCTTTACAAGCGGACCGCTCTGCTTTCTGTTTTTTTTTTCATAACACCATATTATGCTAAAATACTTTTCTCTTTTTTTATTTTCCCACATATTTTAAAATGGTGGTTCCAGGGGAGTGGAAAAAAACACTGGGCAGGACATCAAAAGATCTGCAGTCAATCCCAGTTTTATTATTTACAAATTGTGCGACCTTAGGGAGGTCACTCCTTAACCTTTGATCCATCCTTTCTGTACTCATGCAAAACATGGATATAACTGTAACTGCTATATCAAAGAAAAAATCATGTAAGTTAGAGTACGTTGTAAATCACAGAGTGATTTTGAATCTAAAAGATTATCTGAGGGCTCTTGTTTCTCCTGTCTCTCAACTTTGAGCCTTCCTCTTTACCTTATCTTCTCTCAGAGTTTCTGTATTGATGACAAATAACTATAAAACTCCTATTGTGACCTCTGTTTCTAGCTTCAGTCACCGGTTCAACTGTCCAGACATTATAACATCCTCAAGGTCATGGAACTCTTTTCTATGTCTTCGCATGTCTCAGACCAACCAACCAGAACAAAACTAGGGAGACTGTATTTGCTCATTCATAATTTAAATAAAACCTCAATTTAACACATCAAATCTAGCCATTTTTTTCCCAAACCTGGATTTTCTTTCTCCAAACTTTCCCCTTTTTCATAAATGTCACCAATACTCTGGAGGCACCTGGGAATCCAAGGCATTGTTGTTCCTTTGTTACCACTTTCAGTATTCAGTCTGGCATGAAGTATTTTTGATTCTTGCTTTTCTGCCCTCTTTTGTGTCCCTCTCCTTCATTCAAGTTTCCTACCAGCATCCTGGTTTATATTTTTATTACTTCCTGTAAAGACTATTACAATAGTCCCTTGGTTTACATCTCCAACCACAAGTTCTCTTTAATCCATCTAGTACCTTGCTGCCAGATTCCTTTTCTGAAAAAAAAAAATTGTAAAACCAGGTCTGAGAGTGAACACCTAGACAAATTCAGACTTGTCTGAGTTTGCCTGATAGTTACATAAGGAACTTCAGATCTTCAAAGGTTACCGTCACCTGAAAAGAAGGGAAATTCTCAATAGTTGTGATAGGCAGCCTCTAAAATGGCCCCTGTGATCTCTCCTTTCTGGTATTCATACCCTTATGTAATTCCCTCCCCTTGAATGTAGGCTGGACCTACTGGTTTGCATGTAACAAACAGAATATGACAAAAGTGAGGAGACGTCATTTCAGAGATCAATTTACAAAAAACAAACAGTGATTTTCCTCTTGCTTGCTCTCATTCACTCGTTTCCTCACTTGCTCTGAGAGAAGCCAGCTGTCATGTTCTGAGCTACTGTATGATAGGCCAATGTGGCAAGGAGCTGGTGTCTAGTCAATAGGAGACCCGAGCCCTGCCAACAGCCATGTGAGTAAGCTTGGAAGTAGATCCTTCCCCATTTGAGCGTTGAGATGACTACAACCCTTGTTAATATCTTAACTGGAGCCTTAGAAGGGACCCCAAGCCAGGGGACCCAGGTAAGCCATGCCTAGATTCCTCACTGACAGAAACCATGAGATAATAAATGCTTATTGTTTCAAGCTTCTAACTTTCAGGATAATTTGTTATGCAACAATAGATAACTAATATAACAGTTTAGTATGTATAAATCCACCTTGCTTTCTGGTGTCCTCCTTATCCCCTACAACTTGTGGTCAGAGCCCAGGGGGCAACAGGCTGCGATAATAATTTTCAACAAGACTCTGAGAAGAGAGAACCTGCTACTTCATGGACCAAGTAACGGAGTATAATATGAGTGGGAGTTATCCCACTTCAGCAAAGGGACTAGGGAGGAGCTGAGTGTTATGGCCACCAGAAGTACATTAAAAGCAGGAGAGATGACCATGATCTGGGTGCCACAACGTCTACACCAGAGATGACAGGTGATGTCTTAGCAATGGTTCAGGACACCTGCAGCCATTGGTAGGGTCTATCACAGGGAGTGGGAAGGAACACAAGATAGGCAGGAAGAAGCCAATCAGAGTTACTTATAATACACCTCAGAGTCTTTCTAAATGACTTGAGGAAAGCTGGTACCAAAGCCAGAATGCATCTTCTTTGTTTCTTTTGTACTATTGGGGCCCCATTAATCCTCCACGTAGGTGGAAGTGTGGGAAATATGAACCTTACCTGCTTCCATCATGTCACCTCACTACTCTTTATTGTCTATATTTGAACATTCCAACAGTCAGCTTCTAATTCTGTTCTGTCCCATCTATATTCAAATGGATGTGCATACTCTCTCTTAATGCACTGCATTCACTCTCCCCAGCCTTCTCACTGAATATAACTGTCCTCTCACTCCTTAACTAATGCCTATCAATGTTCAAAGTAGAAGGGAAATCTTGTCTTACTTTCCATGTATCATGCAAAATGATTTCCATGATTCCTCTGTGAGTATCCACCATGAAATTATGAAAACTCAATCTATCAATTGAGTATAACAATTAATTTAGAACATGCCTAGTATTGGTTGGACATTCCCCAAAATGCACAATACATCTATAACATGGTCACTGCTCTTAAAGTCTCTTAATTTTATTATAAAGGGAAAAACTTCTCCTGTGAAGCAATCAGAGAACATAGATATATCAGCATATCAGTGGTTCTTTAATAACAAGTCAAGTTGCTGCTCAGAGTTGCTTACTTTTTAAAAGAAAATGAGGTTAAGAAATAAGAGATTAAAATGTTTTTTGCTATTTCCACCCTCACCTTGATATCGATTATAAATGGGAACTTCTAGGCTATAGTGCTGGCAAAGATGGTTGCCTCAAAGGTGGTCTCTGCTTCAAGCTGATTAATGAAGTTATTCCTGGTGAGACATTAATTTTACTGCTGTCAGCTGTCTGTCACTAAATCCAGACATTTGGATTCCAAAAAGAAGTCTTGAGGGAATAGGAATAATGTGAATGAACTAATTTGGCCAACATATAAAATTCATGTTGTAACTAGTTATGTAATACCTGCTAACACATTAATATGCCCCCCTCTTCCACTGGGCCCATATGGTTTAAGAAGCAGAAAGCCTGCATTCCTTAAACTTATTTCATAAGATGGTTTCAGTCTATCACCAAATAGTCCTTTCATTGTTTGTAACTTGCCTATCATGCTTGTCCCTGAAAAAGAAAATACTTTTGTTAGGGAATAATTACAAGTTGTTAATCATTGTATTATAAATAAAATTTTAAAATATCACTGGATATAATTTTCCATTCTAGTAATTTTTGCTGTACTCAGCCCTTTACTCATCAAAGATGAAGTGACCATTACTTGAGAGCATGAGCAGAACCAACCAAGAACAACGTTACAAAATAAACTAACAGGAAGTTAACTAGAGATGGTCATGAAAACAAAGGCTTCTTGTAACAGCCTTGCGCCTGAGAAGGGAAAGTCTTCCCTAAATTCCTAAAGCTCCCCTTTAAATATAAAAAAAAATCATAGAGCATAGAAATTTGCTGCAAGCTGTGGAAGAGAAAGGACATTCATTATGATTTTTCTGAAGACAATGTTTTGTCACACAGGGCATGACAGCCTGGAGAGTGATGAGAGAAGAGTCTGTGAGGTGAATGTGGTGCTTCTGAGAAGGGCTTAGTCCTGCCCCTCTTCTAGAATGAAAACCTTGATTGGGGATGAGGAGGGTACTGGGGGCAGAGGAATCTAAGGGCAGATAGGATTTATGCCTCACCTCCCAACTGGCAACCAGCGATGACATGGGCTAGCTGTTATTGAGTAGAAACAGCAATTAGCTGTGTTCAGGTACCCAGAGGTCTCATGAGTATCTGTTCTGGGTTCCCCACGTCAGGGAAAGCTCCAGAATTTCACCCCAGGGAGGATTTTTTAAAATGCCAAGAGGGCATGTATATTGGAAGATTCTTGAGTTAAAGAAGAGTGTAGATGTTACTACCAGAAGCCACAGGAAGGACCGCAGACATCAGAGGCAACAACTGCTGGATATATTTGGATGACTTGCCCCAAATGTATGTAGCATCCATGATTACAGAGTATTGTAAAGACCCCTGGGGATAAAACACACCAGAGAGGCCAGAGAACACCCCAGGTCAGCATGTGTCACACAACCCTCTGAGGCCATGAGGTTTCAAAATTTCTTGCTGCTCACATGCCTTTGGCTGGAAGAGAAGGAGGAAAAGGAGGGGAAAGAACTATGAAAGCTGGAGCATTTTTCCCAATAAGATGAACTAATCCGGGAGAGATATATTTTAAAAAAAAAATTCCCTTTAATTAGAAAAATTGGCCTAAGCACCGTGGCTCATGCCTGTAATCCCAGCACCTTGGGAGGCTGAGGTAGGTGGATCACTTGAGGTCAGGAATTCAAGACCAGCCTGGCCAACATGGTGAAACCTGTCTCTACTAAAAATACAAAAATTAGCCGGGTGATGGCGCGTGCCAGTAATTCCAACTGCTTGGGAGGCTGAAGTAGAAGAATCACTTGAACCCAGGAGGCGGAGGTTGCAGTGAGCTGAGATCACGCCACTGCACTCCAGCCTGGCTGACAGAGTGAGGCTCAGTCTCAAAAAAGAAAAAAGAAAAATTAAGGACTCTCATGCCCATCCCCAATCCCTCCAGCCTTCACTCATTTATAGAAACAAGGTCTTCAGAGAGAGTTCAGTTCAGTTACACAACACTAGCACTCCAGTTCTTCCCATCTGAATCATAATGACTATAAATCATGATGACTTTATCTGACACTCCTTATGACTATTTCTTCCCCTCCAAATATTTTTGAGGAAAATGGGAAATATGTAACATCCTAAGTTTTAGTGTTTAGTTCTGAAACACAATTTAGCAATATAGTAAAAACTCATCATATATTACGAGGAGTCCAAAATCTTCAGTTGAGTAAAATGTGGGGGTAATGATTTTCTAGGTTAATGAAATGAGGAGCTTGGGGAAAGCTGGCCAACCACTGATCACATTGTATCCAAATTTATGTCATATCCAAATTCATAATACTGCAGGATGTTTAGTCTGGGGAGGAGTCAGGGTACTTAAAACATGCTGTGATAAATGTTTTTTTTAAAATAGCCAAGATGAAGATGCACTCTTTTTTTGTAAAACAGTTTTATTTCTTTATTTTTAAAATTAGAGTGGTGAGCAGACAACCAATAGAAATGGAAGTCCTTTAGGTGATGGTCTTTTGTCTATTAAAAAATCTTTTTTATAATACAGTAGTACCCATTGTTACTATAGTTCCTTGCTGAACAGATTAAAATTCTATGATACTCGATAAGAAACAGATAGCAACTCCTAGGGGTTTTGTGGAAAGCTCAACCATTCTTTCTCTGTGTGCTGGTGAAGCCATGTTTTGTGGTGATGAATGTAAGGTAGCTCAGGCGGTTGACTGAGAAGAGTACTTTCCTACTTTGGCCAATGTATGTAAACTCTTCTACAAAATATTAAATGTAAACGTTTCTCCTCAGACTCCTCAAAATAATACTTTATTTTGAAATTATTTTATTTTTTAAAATATTAACCGAAACACAACCTGTTTCATTTTACAGATTTGAGGGATAGAAAATGGAGTTTCTTTCTCTTCTCCTAGCATTTGAACCCACCCCCACTGCAATGTTCTCCTCAGCTTCTTCCTCTTTGAGTGGCAGCAAGTCTGCTTTGCCTTCAACTGTGCAAAAATGTCAACAAAATCACTTCCATTTGAGTTATCACAACTGTACCTACTTCCCCCGAGCAAATGACTCCATGTAATGCCATTAACACCCCTCACCATTGTATCATCACCGGTAGGGGATGAATGAACAGACTGACTGGTGAAAACTGCCTCTTTTTTTAAAAAAAAACAATTTTCATTTCAAATCTCCTATATCAGCTTATCAAGCCATGTCTGAATATTCAATTCCTATGAACACAGAACACTTTAGAGGAGCCCTCCAAGACATCACTGAGAGTGCTCTCAAAACCCACTAACTTATACTGCCTCTGGTCTTAGACAATCAGATTCTCCCTGATTATGGATGAAGAGAAACTATGGTACTCTCCAGCAGAAGCTCTCAGTAAGTAGGAGTCATGACAATTATTCCTATGGCCAGGCAACAGAAACACTGCAGAAAAATTTAAGCATGACCTCACTGTTGTTTAAAAATCACATATGCCTAGGAGGCATTGCAATTTTGTACATGAAGAATGTCAACTGACAGTTGCTCCATAGCTTATAAAGTTTTCAATTTGGCTAGTTATATTTACATGATATAAAATAAGATTCTTAGAGCCATTTGTAAGTAAAATACAATTCTCATACTCCCTGTGTTATAATCATACAATCATCACTGTTTTAGAAATAATTGTGAAGGGGATATTTGGATACTCAAATAAAATGGGATATTTGAATACTCTGCAGGCAGAGCCACAGAAACAGCAATTCCTCCTGTAAATGAGCTGTGATTTAAAATTTGAAATCCTAGCAGCAAATTGTCTCTTATACCTCCCAACCATAAAGTCAGAGCCAAAGGGGGAAGATAACTGGGTGCCAAGCAAGGGAGTTCCCACAGGATGGATATTATCAAATAAGTCACACAACCTCCAAAGCAGCTCTTTCATTGTGTGTTTACAATCATTATGTTCCAATTTGGTGATACAGGACACATTGGAGACTTTCCCATTAGTTTTGTAAACAGTATGCGTATTACAACCATTGATCAATTTACCAGCACTTTCCTTGTTTGCTGGCAGAGAATACTTAGAAACAGTATTTCCACTGGAACATTATGCCAAGAAGTTTGGGCCCATCTGAAAAGGTCAAATCAAGACGAGCATCCGTGTGTGCGCAAGTGTCAATTGAAGACCGGCCACTCCTTTGTTCTCTTCTACACTTTTGCCAGTCTTTTAATAATTGTGTTTTAATAAAAACAGAATACATGTTTCCAACTCATTTACAACTAAATGATAATAATATTATTTAAGATGGTTTTCCTATTAGCATCTTAGAATCAGGGACTTGAATTTGGCCCATTATAAATTATTTTAAGCACTCTCAATTCTCCCTAGGTACAGTTTGAGTTACTTCAAACATAGTAAAAATGTTCATAACCCTACTTTTACTTTGTAATTCATTAATCTGGTGTCAAACCTTGCCAAATCTAACTATAATTTGTTCAGACTTTCTTTAATCTTTTCATGTGTCCAGCTGAAATAGACTATGAATTTAGAGTATAATTTGAAAAACAAAAAAGCAACTGCAATATGGAAAAACAATGAAATCTAATAAAAAGAATGTGTTTTCCAATTTCGAGTTTTGGATTGACATCTAAACTATACATCAGCAAAAGAACCAGTGCTATTTAACAAGTTTTGTTTTGCAATTGCTATGCAATTTGATAGTTTAAAAGTTAATTGTTTTATTTTTCTATCAGTGAAAACTCCTTATTTCATGAAAGACTAGACATGTGGCCACTTGAAAAAGAACTAGATGACTCAACAATCATTCATCAGTTAAAGGCCTTCTATCTACTTTAAACTGTGTTCAGATTCTTAGCTACTAGAGTTCCTAGCTATTTTATTTTTCCTAGAACTCATAAAAGCCCATTAGTAGTTTTCATAGTATAACTCAAAAAAACTATGGAAGTTTAGGATATGTCTTTATTTAAGCAATGATAACTTCAGTGTTATAATTATACTGATGTTTTTCCAGAACTCTTATGTGGAGTTTCAAATGATTAAATGTCAAATCTCTCTAGGGTTTCCATGTTGCTGTTCTCTAAAAAATCATATGCTAAACATAGTGATGTCTGTATCTACATAAAAGATGATTATGCAAGGTCTAACTAGCATGGTAGCCCCATGCAAACTCTAAAAAGTAAACCCAACTTACACAACAGTGAAATTATAAAAGATTTTTTTCTTCTAACATCACACAGAAAGAATATAGATTCTTTTCCAGCTGTCATTTTCAACTGGCACTTTGTATTAAAATGCTCAATTTCCAAAAATACTAGTGCTGGAGATAGTCAAATCAGAACCTCTAGGGGTGGGTCCCAGGCATCAGTATTTTTTTTCAAAGCATCCTAGATGATTCTCATGTGAAAGCAGAAAATCAGTGACTTGCAGGAAAGAAAATTAGGAATGAAACACAAGCTGGAGTAAGTTTACAGCAAACACAAGCTCAGTGCAAGACTTTGGCCACAGTTTCAGGAGTCTGGGTGAAAGTATGTCAAAATTGGTTTTAATGCCTACAGCACTGAGTATTTTCTTTGAGGCAGAAAACTTGAATAATAGTTTCTCCATTTCTTCACAGCCTTGATTGGATCTTAGGCTTGACAAAGGCACTATTTAGTTCACAAATATTTATTGCGTTCTAGGCAGCTGCTAGGCGCAAAATGACCTAGAATAGAGAACGCCTAGCCAGGTACCCATAAACCATTTATAACAACCAATTGTGCTTTCCGAAACACATTGACAATAATAATCACATGGAACTTTTTTCCTAGGTAATTAATCTTTACAGTGGTAACATTGCTACCATTCACTATTCTTACAATTCCAATATCTATGACAATTAGTAGTGAAGTGATTTTAAAAAGACGAACAGGGGTCCACTTCCAGGAGGAAAACCCTCAGTTTGAGAGCTTAAAGTATAACAGCAAAATCATAAGAAACTTCACATAATCAGACATACAGGTAAATACATGTTAGAGTAGTCATAAATGAAGCTAACTTTTGCAGGGCAAAATAGGGAGAATAAAATCAGTAAACTCTTTATGCTTTTTAGGGTGACACAGTTGAGTTCTGGCTTCTGGACTGTTAGTTTGGTTCAGGAATGGTTTCATCTATGAGGAAATGTTCTTTGATGGTTTTACTCGTCATAAACTTGCTCCCTCTCCCCGCAGAGAGCAGAGAAAAAAAAAGACAAGCTTCTGTTGGATTGGATGGATTAGCGGTGGAGGATAAAGATAGGGAAGTCCTGGCTAAGGAAGTGCTACTTGAGGTGAGTTTTAATAGAAAAAAACACAGCTGTATAAAAAAGAATGTGTGGGTGGGGAGGGAGGAGCATGTTTCAGGCCAAAGGAACAGCATATGCAGAGACTATGAGTCATAAACCAATGGGGTTGGTTGGGAATTTCCAAGAAGTTCAGTATGACAGACGCATTGGAGGTGTGGCTTGGAGGTGTGGCTTGGCTTTGGAGGTGTGGCTTGCTGGGAGTTAAAGCCCCCAAGGTAGGCTTGGGATGCACTAAAAAGACATTTGTAATTTATTCCACAAACTCTGTATAATCTTTGAAGTATCTTAAATGGTGAGGAAACTCCAAAAGACTTCTATTTGAGATTTAAAGAATTGTTTTGAGAGCTTTAGGGATGAAGCACTGACACGGGGTGAGTTGGTGCAGACTGGAGATGACCTAGAGGCTACTGAAAGGAGGCATACTCAAACTCAGGAATAGTGGTGGGGAGGAAGAAGAGGAGAGGATGACAAAACCGTGTTTATAAGATATAATCTCTGCCATGAAGGCTGAATGAGGAGAAGAAGGGTAATTCCCAGGTTTTTGGATTGAACGACTGGTAACTGATAAAAACTTTTACGGAAAGAAGATATAGAAGAGAATTAGTTCTGATGGAGGGTAAGTGCATGCAATTTTAAATGCAGTTTTAATAGCTTAAGAAACAGGAACAAATTGTCTCTAGAACCGTAAAACAATTTTTTTTGAGGACCCAAGTTTAAGGGCATTTTACAAAAAATAGCTGGTTCATACTCTTCAAAAATGCCAGAGTCATAACAGACATGGGAAGACTAAAGAATTCTTCCAGATTAAAGAAGACTGAGTAGATTTGATAGTCAAATACACTCATAATCCAGAATTTCCTTTCTTTACAAAGAACATTATTGACAGTTGGAAAAATTTGAGTACAGTCTGTAGATTAGCAACCAGTATTTTATCACCACAATACTAATATTGTATTCATTTTCGGATTTTGTTAATTGTGCTGTCGTAATGTAAGAGAATGTCCTTGATTTTCAGTAAACATACACTGAAGTATTTATGGGAAAAAGGATATACAACTTACCCTCAAATGGTTCAGGAAAAATAAACCTCTATATGTATAAAGACTGAGTGCTAAAGGTAATGTGATAAAATGCTAATTTTTGAGAATATGAGCAAAGGGTATATAGGAACTTTTCTACTATTCTTGCAATTATTCTGTAATTACAAAATAATGTTAAAATAAAAAACTGAAATCAGCAAAAAGTTCTTTTGAAATATTTAAAGCTCTTAGAAAAGCATAAGAATAACACAATGCCTATATTCCCTCTACCCTCTAACTAGAATAAATAACAACTAATATTTTCTTATTTACTTTCAGTCATTTTTTGAGGCAAAATATTACTTCATAACATTTTATTTTCTGTAAAAATTATTGTGTACATGTGTATCTGCAGAAAAGGAGGAGGATGGCAAAGGCTATATACTGAAGTACATTTAATCATCTCTTAAATTAGAAATAATCAGGCCCAGAGTGTAAGATTACCCCAGAGACTGGGGTGATTACCCTCTGGGCTTTAGCTTTACTGCATGTTTACTTCAGCAGAGCATGATTTAGTTAGCCTGTGAAGGGGTCAAAGGGTTAAATTTTTATTTTAGTTTCTGTAGAAAAGCCAAACCACCAATTCTTTTCATGTATCAGAAAACCCTAAGAAAGCACTTTATTTCTCCTGTTGTTTCCATTTGATTAAAATCCACATAGAAAAGCTACTTCAAAGCTGCCAGTCAATTGAAACCACAATAGGAAAAAGGACAGGTTATTCACAAATATCTTTCAAGAGTCTCTTTTAAAAAACAGTAAATAGTACAAATGGGTAAATATTGGCAGAATATGTAACACCAAATGCTGAAAACAGTGGTAGAGTTATAACTTTATGCAACCAAGATGGAACTTTTGCAATGATCTTCTTACTCTTTGCTCCTGGCCACCATCCTATCTAGGAAGGCTAAGGGTCACTGCTCGATGCTTATTTGACTCAAGATGGAAGTCAGGAGACTTATTCTGAACAGAAATCTGAGATGCACACAGGTCACTACCCCGGCCATGCATGATGTCTGGTCTTCCTCAGGTATCTTTATCCTGATACTCATCTTTAAGGCCTTTAATCTTACTTTTCTTGGTAAACACAAGAAAGGCCAAGTGAAGGATAGGAATCTAAGACCAGACAGCAAATCAAAACACTGTCAACACTGGCACAAATGGAGCAAATCCATGTGGTCTAATGATCAGAAGCAATTGTTTCCAGGGCTGGATCCTGGAACAAGGAGCTCACCCCTGCCAGGCAGAGAAAGGAACTAGGGGTCCTGGGAGTTGGCAGTGCTGGCTCCCCTGTACCACCTCTGCTTCTGTTTTTTTTTCCTCTCTCTCTTTTCTTTTATATCTTCCTGCTCTCCCTCACTTTTCATTATTTTCTTGACTCTTTTAAACCAAGGAGAGTTAACCAAAATAGGTTAGCTCTCCTTGAAGCACCGCACTGAAGAGGATGCACTATCATCTCTCTTTGGGAATTTAGGAAGCCTCCCCGACCTGTCTCAGATGTCTTTTGGTTCCTCCTTTTGTCTGGCAGAGGACAACTCCTAAGTCACATAGTAATGACTTTTTTTCCTGCAATCCCTTCAACAGACAAAAATATGATTCCCTTTTTCATTTTGAGTAAGTCTCCCCACATCATGTCTTCAAGCTGTGACTAAAACTTCTTTGTCTAAGCAAATACAATTATTTTCATGACAATTTTTATGTCCTGGCATGGAAAATAAATATCATCATTGTTGAGTGCTGTGCCCTTCTTTCTGTTTACTGATGAAAAACACGGCTGATAGGAAATGGAAGGTGTCATAAAGATTTATATGAAAAAGGTCAGGGTGGGTGGTGGAGGAGAATCACTTTGAAACACAAAAGAACTTCTGCTGAACTGGTCCTTTCCTTATTGAAAACAGTGGCAGCCGGTTGTGGTGGCTCACGCCTCTAATCCTAGCACTTTGGGAGGCCAAGACAGGCAGATCACTTGAGGTCAGGAGTTTGAGACTAACTTGGGCAGCATGGTGAAACACCATTTCTACTAAAAATACAAAAATTAGCCACGCATGGTGGTGTACCGTATGTAGTCCCAACTACTCCAGAGGCTGAGGCAGGAGAATCACTTGAATCTGGAGGCAGAGGCTGCAGTGAGCTGAGATAGCGCCACTGTCTCCAAAAAAAAAAAAAAAAAAAAGCAATGGCTACTAATGTGACCAACATAAAATATCCTTACATGCCAAATGTTTCTGAATATCCACATTTCAGTATAGGCCCTAATACTGAGGATGTTTAGAACCTATGGTCTCATCCCCCAGGAATTTATATTCTTCAATGCTTCATAAGGTCATTAAATATTAAAGAATCATTTAGTAAAGTTATGATAACTCTATGTTTGTGTGCTTTACAGTAATAGATCTGAGGAGATACTCACCTAAATAAAAATCGTGTTTATCTCTAGGTGGTGGTATTTTATACAATTTTTAAAAACATTCTTTGTATTATTATAATACATATTTAATGTCTTAATTATAGTGTATAATCAAGAAAAATAAAATTATTTTCTTTGCTAATTGAAAAGCAGATCTTGAAACATTTCAAACATTCGTTATTTCTCAGGGTTGAAAGTTATATTACAAAAACTATATTTTTTAATGCAAATCAACTTTTTGATGAAGTAAAATTAAAAATAATTTTTGTTCCTCTATAATATTTAGCTTTTTAAAATATTGGGTGTTTGTGAAATTCCTGACATTATATCCAGTTTCCTGTGTGCAAGCTGAGTTGCTATGGTGACATCACTTTGTACTTGCATCTGAAATTTCTATCTTATAGTTTATAACTTCGTATTACCTTATTCCCATTGAAGTGTTTAAAAAGTGGTTTTGATTTTCTGCTATGAGGCCCAAAGGACTCTTGCAACCCTTTCTCGACAGAGAGACCACTAATCAAAAGCAATGAAAATAAATCCTCACTGCGCTTAGGAGCAGATCCAGACAGATCTCAGCCCCCAACTTCTCCCACCTACCATCTGGACCTCCCTGCAGCTATGGGAGCAGCAGGAGAAGGCAGAGAGGAGCACCTCCCCCGGTCCATTAACAGTGGCAACCACTAGAAGCAAGATCCAAAAAACAAAGAGACCCTAAAGTCAGGATTTCCCTCCATTACCAATGCCTCTCTGACCTGACAGGAGCTTTAAGAGACCTTCTAAAGTCCCTTTCAAATCTAAAATCAACAAATCTACAAATCTACAAATAATTAATAAGATAAAAACTAGCCATTCAAATTGAATGTTTTACCCTTCTTACCAGAATTAGGGATTCAATTTAGATCAACTTTTTAATGTCAGATGTATGAATAAGTTGTCATGGCTCAATTCTGTCCCCTACTCCTCCTCCATTTTCAACATTTTTTAAGCTGATATCCTTCTCATAAAACATCTTTCAATCAATTTAGTAGTATCTAGTTCCTTGGTAAGTATATGGCCTTCTCTGGGATTTGATCCATTAATTATTCTCTCCTTCTGTCTTTGCCTCTGTCTCTCTCTCCCTTCTTCAGTTATTCCTTTTCCATTGACCACTCATCCCAGTTTGTAAACAGGTCCAGCTCTTTCCATGTTAAATTAAAAATAAAAGCCTTCACACTACTTAACACTCTCTCCCACTTCCGCTGCAATCCCATCGTTCTCCTCCCTCCACTATACATACCTTCACTTTCTTTTCTTACCTGCCTCACTGCAGGTTGCTTCCTTCTGTTGTCACTGCTGCAGCCGCTGTCATTATGGTCGGCAATGGCCTTCGAAAAACTAAACCAACACTCATCTTACTGGACCTTGCTGTGCCGTTTTATTTTGTTCATTTTTCTTAATTAAAATTTGCTTCCATCAGGTTCATGAGCACTAAATTCTCCTGGTTTTTCCCCATTCTACTAGACCTCTGGCCCATTTCTCGTTTTTTGCCTACTGCTCTATACTGGTGTTTTCTACAGCCCTATCCCATGTTTTCTTCCTCTTCCTAGATGCCTCACCCAACTGATATTATCAGCCATTCCTATGTATCTCCATCTCTCTTCTGAGCTTCACATCTGTATTTTTAACCAGTGACTATATACTCTTTCCTCAGTTATCCACTGAGTCTATACATTGCACCAAATAAGACACACACAAAAATTAGCCTGACTACTGGTTTCTTTTCACTCATTTTCTCCTCTTTTAAGTCTATCTTTTGTCCAAAGATACCCATCTTATCATTTTATTCCTCTGCTTTAAAAAATTGTAGGGTCTCCCTCGTGCCCAGAAGATAAAATGCCAACCCCTGACTTTCAGAGTCCTTTCTCTTCAGCCTACCTTTCCAGCTGCATTTTCTTTATTTCTCCTTTTTATGCTCCTAAACCTGCCAAGTAACTGTACCTTGGGTGTACTCCCCCATCACATCATCTTTATGGGTTTGGGGTTTCATCTGTGGTTTTCTTGGGCTGGAATGCTCTTCACCAGTTCATATGTTTCTTCCTAAGTTAAATTTTCCTGGATCCCCCCTGCCTTACCCCCACCACTATTTGTTGATCTCTACCATAACATTTTTACCCTACTGCAGCCGGGTGCGGTGGCTCATGCCTGTAATCCCAGCACTTTGGAGGCCGAGGTGGGTGGATCACGAGGTCAGGAGATCGAGACCATCCTGGCTAACACGGTGAAACCCCGTCTCTACTAAAAATACAAAAAATTAGTTGGGCGTGGTGGTGTGGTGGCGAGCACCTGTAGTCCCAGCTACCTGGGAGGCTAAGGAAGGAGAATCGCTTGAACCTGGGAGGCAGAGCTTGCAGCGAGCCAAGATGGCACCACTGCACTCCAGCCTGGGCGACAGAGCGAGACTCCATCTCAAAACAAACAACAACAACATTTTTACCCTACTGCAAACCTTGGGCGAACAAGGTTTCCCTACTTCCTGTGTCTAGCACAATTCCTGAAACACAGTAAGGCTCTTAAAATATATGAATGAATGAACAAGTGAATTTACTGCAGACATACAATGAATAAAATTTTTGGATGGACAGAAAAATGAGAAAGTTTGAAATTCAAGTGAACAAATCGGGTTTTCATTTACATTTGAGTTCATCACATTTCTATGAATCATTCATAACAACTATGATTAATATGTGCCATAGTATGACTCCCCATTCTCTCCCCAATCTGAGTTTTCAGCGGGGGAAGTATGCCTTTGGCAAACCTCCCACCCCATTCCCTAACTTTGGCTCCATTTCTCTCTCCAGGAGCCCTTTCCTCTTCTTTCCACCATTCCAATGTCCAATGGTGGACATTCTTTCCATCATTAAGCACTAATCCTGTGCTCAAATATTGTACTTAGCTGAGCACAGAACTAATTCAGATTATTAAATTAAAACACTTTTCCTTCATATTTGTTGCAGCATAATGGTAGTAAATTGGGTAACTAATTGTAATCAGCTTTTATTCATTCCTCCTTCTTCCTCTCCTCAGTGATTATAAAATAATGCCTGCAAACCTTATTGGAATGAGACAGGTACAGGAAAGTATTTATGACAGTTGTAAGCAATATCTATATTGATCCATTGCTAGCAAAAGATTTGGAATATGTTTTCAGATCTTTGCTCTCTTTTATAATTAATACTGGGATACTATGATACTATGCCTAGGAGTAGAGACATCTAGACAGGATAGCATCTATTTGAGAACCAATTATTCTGGGTTGTGATACTCAGTCCATGGAATTTGTAGGAAAACTAGAATTGCTGAAAATTGGGAAGATTTTAATTTTTGGAGTTCTAGGCCAGTAGTGAAATAGCTGCCATTTACTACCTTTTAATTAAGTGTCAAAGTCATATAACTTCAATGGACTGTTGCTGCTGGTAGACTCCATTTTAAGAAGAACTATTTATCATCATTTTGGGGAGACTGATTACTCAAATGATCACAATTAATTAATTGCTAAATATCAATAAACACACTTTGGAAAATTAAATATAAATGGAATGTCACCTGAGGAAACAAACAGGCAGTCCAAACGTTCTTCAAAAAATGTCAATTTTCTATTTCACAGAAAGGAAGTGTTTTTCATCATTAAGGCAGTTTTAAAAAGAACAACTACAAAATATTAAAATTACTTTTAATAGTTTGCCTGTATTTCCAATACACAGATCCTGGACAGATAGAGGTTGCATTTTGCTCAATTCAGCTACCTTTTTTAGGACAACATATGTATTAGATGTTTCTGAGCAGCCATGCTGTGTTTCCATCATCCTTTGCTTTTTTCTGTCCAAGAGAGAACACCAAGACTGAAGTCATTGAATCAGCCTTTAATATCTATTGTTCTTAGTAACATTGAACCAGTGACAGAGCTGAATGAGAGCCCTTTAACAGCCTGGGGAAAGCATGGCATCATGTTCATGTCCTTGTCAGAAAACTGAGCTAGATAGAAAACCTCATGCTACAATGTAATTTTTGTTAGAGTTACAGATTGAGAGAAAAGAGACGTTAGGCTATAAGACTAACATTTGAAGTGTATGCCTAAGAGGTGCTAATACAGGAAATGCTAAATATTCAGCACTATCACTCAGCTTTGCATATGGAGAAAGCAGGTTTAAAGACTTGAAGAGAATAAAATATATTCTCAGCCAGGCGCAGTGGCTCATGCCTGTAATCCCAACACTTTGGGAGGCCGAGGTGAACAGATCACTTGAGGTCAGGAGTTCGAGGCCAGCCTGGTCAACATGGTGAAACCCTGTCTCTACTAAAAATACAAAATTTAGCCAGGCGTGGTGGTGCACACCTGTAGTCCTAGCTACTCAGGAGGCTAAGGAAGGAGAATTGCTTGAACCTGGGAGGTGGAGGTTGCAGTGAGCGAAGATCACACCACTGCACTCCAGCCTGGGCAACAGAGCGAGGCTCTGTCTCAAAAACAAAACAAAACAAAAACCCAAAAAACAAAAAATCCATGAAACAAAAATAAACCCCTAAACAAAATATGTTCTCAGAGATCATTCTGAGGGACCTATGGAAGGACTATAGAGAAAAATATCACCCCTCAGTGATGGTGGACAGGTATCACAGGTTGCATAAATGCATCTAAAACTTGGATCTTTTTGGCCTCAGCTGGTGAAATCACCTCCCTCACTCCTGCTGTCTATTACCTATTGAATCACTGCCCACTCATCAGTAGGAAGAGTGGACAAAATGGCCCTGCTTCATGGAGAATAAGAGTTCCCTCTCCACCCAAATAGAGAGGCTTGCTGGTAGAATGGTGCTTAGATCTTTTACTCCCCATTAGCTATGTATCTCTGTTGAACACAATATCCCTGCTTAACCTGTGCATGACATAAAAAGCCCACCATCCATCTCTCCTCTTGCACATATTTTTCCATACTGTTAAGATAAGGTAAATAGGAAGAATCATGTACAAACTGTAGTGGTTCCGAATATTTATTTCTTCTAAATACAAGATTATTTTTCTTTCAAATATCAGCTGCTGTAAATATGGGATAGCTCCTATGTACTTATGTTTTTATTAGTAGTAGTATGTTTATATTATTAGTAGTATGTTTTTATTTTCCCTACTGAAAACTGTCTGAGAAATAAATAATTCAAAAGTTGAATTTCTAGGGGCAACTCAGTTACCGTTGCTTTGGAAACTAGTTCTGTGAATATCTATGAACTCAATTAATATTGAACCAACATTTTTTAAATATCAAAAATAACTCTTATTTTCCAGGCACTTTTCACTCTTTCATTGTTGATTGGACAAGGCTATTCAAATTGCACAGAAAATGATCTTATCAATAGTAACATCTAACCTGCACTTTCTGCTACAGGAATTATGGAAAAGATATAGAATTAGGATCTTTGTGTTGAGTCAAGGATGTTTGGAGTTAAATCCTGGGTTCCTTCATGACATTATGAATCTGAGTCTCTTTTTACTAAAGGAGAGGTTGCTTTGTGATTCTCTGAAAAATTCATTTAGGAAAATTCAATTAGATATTTACATGTATAAATGCAATTAATAAATAGTAGCAATGTGTTTAAAATAGTCAAGATAAGTTTGCATATGCTACTACTCTGTCCTACCATAATTATACAATTAATAATGATTACTATTATTTAAGAAGAAAACCACAAATAAATAAATAAATATCAAAGTTATCCCTTCAGGACATCTCTCCTTAGTGATATGCTTTTAACAGTAGAAAACACAAATAATAGAATCTTGGTTTTGGAAGAAATTTTGGATATCCTTGAAGAATAGAGATGAGAGAACCACATCTTGATGAAGATAAAAATGAACGATGATGCAATGGTGCGAGAACTATGAACTGGGACTATTTAGTCAGATGGGAGGTGTGGAAGGTGCTGCCAAAGGCAATCACAAAGCTGTTCCAGAAACAAAATGTATGCCTAATGGAAAAAGCTAATGGCCCAGGCATTTTCTAAAGCTACATCCTGCTAAAAATCAGCGCATCTGGTAAATGGTTGACTTGTGTTCAAGACAATTTCATTTTTCAAATTTTAGAGACAGCAATAAATTCAGTTACGAAGACTGCAGAGGGTTGATGAAGAGAAACTGACAGAAACCTTGGGAACATGACATTTTAGAATGTTTAACAGTCAAAAAAGCTTGTATTGGGCATAGGCATTAAGGTCACTAGTGTTTGAAAAAGTTAACAGTCAAAAACTCCAAAGAAACTAGACTGGCCCCCCTACAGTCACTCATGATGGATTAAGGAGAGTAGGAAGGAGTAGGAACACTGTTACAAAAGAATCCCTTCAGAGGGAGAACAGAGAGAGAAGAACCTGAAGTCATCGGTGTCTACATAGGGAGGTCTGTGCTGAATTCATCCTTTTGTTTTTTATTTTAAAGGTCAAGAAGGCTGAGATCTGTAGATATCATATGAGTAGACCAGAAATCCTTCAGAATGAATTAAAGATTGGGGAAAAAACTGAGAAGTTAAAGAGAACTTTTTAGGTGTACTCAGATAAAAAGACATTGCAGAAAAAGTAGGATAGACTTCATGATCAGAAGAACAGACTGGAATCCTGATTTGCTCATGAATAGCTGGGAATTTTGTTACCTAACCAATTTGACCCTTATTCCTCACCTATGAAATGGTTACCGCACCCCAAAATTTCTAGTAAGAATGAAATAAAATTGGAAAAATATTTAGCCCAATGGTTGATAGTTGATACATAATTAGTTCTATTTTAAAAGCATTAACTACCATCAATATTATTATTAATAATAATATAGACCCAATTCCTGGAGCTTATAACATGATAATGGGAGAAAAATTGAATTCCCATTTTATTCTCTATAATGTTATCTGTCACTTAAAATTTTGTTTCATTTGTGTGTCTGCATACATGATAAGCATTATTTCTTTCAACATTTAAGACTGTGGTGAACATATTGATTAAAATTGAGGTAGGAATAAAGATTTTGGCATTCCTTCAGATTGATATCGAATCAGTAATTAATCTACATGTTTAGGTGTGATATAACAAATTGGGAATTAATCTGGCCACATTATTATTACATTCATATTTGATCATATTGTCCATATGAATATCTAGGCAGTCAAATTAACTTAATATTAATATATTCTATATGTAATATAGGAAGTATTCAACAAATGTTTGATGAATAAATAATGAATTAGGAACTAGAAAGAACTTGAGAAAATAAAGAGAAGTGATTATTAGGTGGTGAATGGGGTAATATTAGTTTCTCTTTTATTTCTTTTATTGTTGTTATAGTACTATTTTCTATATTATATAAAGAACACTTTAAAATAACTACAAAAAGATAGCAAGATGTACTTGGTACATAATGTTTCCCTGATTTTCTGTTTTGATAACTTGATCAAAAGAGGAAGCAAGTCTAATTTGCTGTAACTTGTATTTTATGGCTTCTGATCACTACCGCATTCTACTTGAAGTGTTCACAAGTTATCTGTTCAATTACCTATGCTGAGTGCCTCCCAAATTTGATGGCAAGCAGGTTGGTCTAAATTGATGGTTTCCACCTTTTTTTCTTTTTTGACTGTTGAGAAAGTATTTACCTATAAATTTAAACTATCCTGTTGAAGGAATAACGTGACTAATAAAGATACACTATTTATGGGGATAAAATATGTAGAGTTTGAAATGTAAATTTGTTGTTATTGTTCTTGCAAAAGAGCCTAGACTGATTCCAAATTCATTTGAGAATTATTCATTTGATATCATGTAATAATGCTTCCTATTGTGTGGTACTAAATTTAAACTGAAAGTACAAATTGAGAGACTAAATATGCTCTTTTATCGCTTGTGATACAAGTTTTGCTTCTAAGGAGCTCTAACTTGTTGACAAAGCCAATGAATTATGTTATTCATTCATTCAGTAAATATTTACTGCATAAATTTTATCTACAACGTGCTGTGGGGTGAACTGAAATTAAATGAAATTTATTTACTTAATAAATGTGTGATACAGTAAGAGAATAAGAGATGTGCAAACTCCTATAGTAGTAAGTTTACAAGAAGTATTGGTGGTGAGCCAGAGATGTAGCGGAGAAGGTGGCATTTCACAGATCCTTAAAGAAATGATAAAATATGTAGATGGAGAAGAAACTGGTGATGGGGATGGGATGGGGTGCTTAGTCAAAGCAGAAAAAAACTTCATAAGCAATGTTAGAGAGATCGTAAGAATCAGGTACTTATGGGGAGTAAGGAATATTTCCACTAAGGATGAGTTTTTTACAAAGGATGTAATGAAGGACAAACCTAAAGGCAGCTATTTGGATCAGATTATGAGGAGCAATAAATTCTAGGCTAAGAAAATTGATTTATTCTATAGGAAATAGGGAAATCATTGTGGTTTTTACATGGAGAAGTATATTGTCATAATAACATTTCAGGGAAAGTTTTCCAGTAGTGATGTTTTCAATATATTTAAGAGAAAGAGTTTGAGATGGGTAATTATTAAAAGCGTCTAAGTGAGTAATAATAAAGGATAATCTAGACTGGTGACATGCTTTATTTTATTAATATATCTGCATACTTAATACAATGTTTTGCATTACAAACAAATAAAAAAAAATTTATTCAGTATCTCCTTACTTAAAACCCAGGCAAGATGTCATATTAAAGGTTAATTATGGTGACAATAAAATTAAAAATAATTGTATCATTACTGACATGATATTCAATTCATGGGTATAAAATAAAATATAAGACAACTAAAAATCTCATAGTGTTTTATAAGCAAGTAGATATAAATAAAAAAGTAATCTAAGGAAAACAGATTTCTGCCAAAATGGAAAATTGTCTTAGGAACTGCTAATTGTCACCTGAGAATCTTTCCTCCCTTTCCATTTTAGTAATAAAACCCCCAAATTTATCAAGGCATGCGTTCCCCAGAATCAAAGTTATACTTCCCAGCTTTCCTTGTAGCCAGATGATGTCATGCCATTAAAGTCTGGTGAATGAGATTTAGCAAAAGTGTCCTGTGTGACTTCTAGAAAACATCCTTAAAGGGAAGGAGTGTGCTCTGCCACTTCTCTTCCTGCCAGCTGGACTGTGGACCTCATGGCTGGAACCTAAGCAGCCACCTTGCACTGAAGATAAAAGCCAGGTATTGAAGACGGCAAAGCAAAAATCCAAGAGGAGTCTGGATCTCTGATGATCATGGAGTCATCATAGTACTCGTGGAGAATACAAATCAGATAAATAAAAAAAAATGAATCTTGTTTAAATCACTGTTGTTTTGGTTTTCCATCACTTGCAGCCAAACCTGATCTTTAGAATTTAATATTGTTCTAGCACTTTATTGTCAAATGCCATGAGAACTGAAGGAACCCAGAATGTGAGATATGGTTTCAGGGTAGGCTTTACTATAAAACTGCTGTAGGGAGATACTGGGTAGGATCTGAGCGGAACAAAAAGAGAACAAAAAGGAAGAGAATTTGCTTGGTACAAATGTGTAAATCCAAGCCTATATTTTTGACATCTTTAGTATTACAGATATATTGCTTCTCCTGCTGATCAAGTTGGTGTAGGTAATAAATCATAAATCTGAGTATACAATAAAATCTAGACATGTTGTTATACCTGTTCTACAAGGTGTCACTGCTACCTAGAAGCAGCCTTGGATGTGGAAGAGGATTATTCTCCTGGTACCTGGTAAATTGGCCTGAGATTATAGAAGAGGCCTCTCTCTGTTGTAACTGTCATTCAGGAGGGTTTGGTGAGAAGGGAATAGAAAAGCATAAGAGCAATTAATTAAGAAGTAGATTTTTATTTAAATTGAACTTTCAGTCAATTTACAGATACATAAATGGGCATTTGTCATATAAGGCACTCAAAGATACGTTTATTTGTTACTCTAAAACACCTAAACCAGAGGATGAACTAATTAAGTATTTCTTAAATTGAGGAAAATGTCTTACACAGGCTTAATCAAAGCATAGCAGACTGAAGGAGGGAGCTTGTGCCTGGTCATTAGGGGCTCTTGGGCCAGGAGAGGAAGTAGAACCATTGTCATGGGACAGTAACTTGGGCTTTTTAAGTAGCAAGTAAAGATCGTCAGAGAGGCTCAACATAGACAGAAAGAGTCTGCTTCAGCAAAGACATGGAATGTAGAGCCAGGGACAGGGAGAAGTTTGGGCAGAAATCTTTTATCAGGGAGGTTCGTAAGGGAGTAAGGTGTCCTGGCAGGTGAACTCTGCAGAGCTCAAGAAGTCTAGAAACAAGCTGTGAGGAGGGCTGGCTGGCAGGTGGATTGGCAACATGTGGTGTTAGTCTAACTAGAGGGACTCCAGCTTAGGCCTCAGTAAGAACAGCTGGAGAATGTCAGGACAAATAACAAACTGAACTTAGATTTGGAAAACAAAATGGAGGCTTGGTGATGAGGAAGGATGTAAAAGACTGGCTATTCAGACCAGGTATAAAGAACAAGGTTAGAGGGGCCTTAGAGCAATATTTCCCTTGGATAAATAAGGTAACTGGATCCTGAGCTACTGAACTATGTAGGGATGCAGGGGTCCTTTTATTCTTGGGTCTAGAAGGATGTTGAGATCGTGAATGGGGTCCAATTGGCCTCACATCCAGAACCTAGAAGGCTTTAGCGAGAGGCAGGCAGCTAATCACATACTGAACAAAAAGGATTCAAGTGCAACCAGGAAAGAGTTGCTCACTCAAACCCATTCTGTGAGGCTGGTTCGACTCTGGCTTTAAATGCATTTTAGAACAAATACTGTTGACTTTTCTGGTCACTCTCAGAATAACCTCTGGTCATTTTAGTTTCCTAAGTCACAGTTCTAATATTAAAATGACCAATCCCCATGTAATTGTAAAAACTTCCAATTACATCTATATCAACTCTTCTCTCTTCCTTAGCTTGAACCTGTTCAAGGGAGGATCATCTTCTTCTCCATTTTCATGTTTTATGCTTGTATCTCTCTTCTCCCAGCTAGCTAACCCATGGTTTCCATTCAAGGTGAGGCTGCTGGGGTTTGGGGAAAAGATGAGGGAAGGGAAAATGTTTTCCTTGTCAGACAATGACATAGAGAACTGTAGCTGATGTCCTCTGGGCGTGGTAGGTGTTTAAAGCTCTATTTCTCTTTTGAGATGCTTTTTAAGGTTCTTTGGAGATAAGCACATTGCTGAGGATCATTTATTCAAAGTTCCTGTGGTGCAGGGCAGTGCATATCCTCAGCTCCTAAACATCCACTTTACACTTCCTGCTCCTCTCTTCTCTAGTTTGATCATGTCTCCAGGCAATCTTCTTGAAGATCAATGTTACTCAACCTGCTTCTCCTTTCCTCACTCCTTCTCTTATCTACTAGATGAGAGACTCTTTTTTTTTTTTTTTTTTTTTTTGAGATGGAGTCTCACTATGTCACCCAGGCTGGAGTACAGTGGCGTGATCTCGGCTCACTGCAACCTCCGCCTCTTGGGTTCAAGCAATTCTCTGCCTCAGCCTCCTGAGTAGCTGGGATTACAGGTGCCCGCCACCACGCCCAGCTATTTTTTTTGCATTTTTAGTAGAGACAGGGTTTCACCATCTTGGCCAGGTTGGTATTGAACTCCTGACCTCATGATCTACCTGCCTCGGCCTCCCAAAGTGCTGGGATTACAGGCATGAGCCACCGCACCCGGCCCCTGATGAAAGACTCTTATGCATTCTTTCCCTCAACAAATTCTGGAAGAATAGTCTACCCCAATGTATCAGCTTCTCTTAGTTCCTTTATCCAGTCACAGTCAGTCGGCTACTCTTGAATTTGTTTGGCCTGAGTGTGTCCTGTACTTTCCAAGCAGCAAAGGACATGCAAAGCTCTTGGTATAGTTGTTGTTATTGTTCTGCTGCTTCTTCCTCTTCCTCCTTTATCTCTCCTCCTCTTCCTTCTTCTTTTTCTTCCTTCTCCATCTTCTTCTCCCTCTCCTTCTCTTCCTCCTCCTCCTTCTTCTTCCTTTTCTTCCTCTTCTTCTTTTTTTTTTTTTTTCTGATGCCTATTTTACTGGGTAGAATAAGGGGGTGGGAGGTAGAGGACTCACAATTCTCTGATAGTTCTTGCCATAAAACCTCTTTTAATCTCCATTTCTGCCCTTTTGTAACTTCAGTGTGGGTGAATTCCTACAGAAAACTAGCTTTTGACCATGTTCTTTGCAAGCCTCATCTAGTAATTGCACATCTCATTTTGAAGCATGGAGTAGTTTGCACATACCTGTTAAGGACTCAGCCAAAGCTAAGGCTTAAGTGCTTTAATTTCAACATTCAATCATAATCACACTCATCTACATTCTTTTTAAAATTCAGATTTCACCATGTTCTGATATTCCTTGTTGAATTTTTTCTTATAATCGTTCTCATTTGCTTATAGTAACAAGCTTCATTATCAAAAATGATGCCACCCACTGACCATGATAGGACAGCACAGTGAGGTGTTTGTCAAGACTCCTCTCCACCCCCATGTACTCACACAGCATCCCTTACAGCCAAAGATGACTTTAAATTTCAGGGAGCTATCCTTTGCTATAGCAGACTTGCCAACTATTCCTAAAGTATGTCTTTCGTTACTAATTTTCACAAGGAGATTTTTATTTTTTCTCCAAGTTCTTCTTGAGCCAGGTATTTCAGTAAACAATCACTTTCAAAGAATTAGACCGGATGTGGTGACTCAGGCCTGTAATCCCAGCACTTTGGGTGGCTGAGGGAGATGGATCACTTGAGATCAAGAGTTCGAGACCATCCTGGCCAACGTAGTGAAACCCATTCTCTACTAAAAATACAGAACTTAGCTGGGCGTTGAGGCAGGCACCTGTAATCCCAGCTAATCAGGAGGCTGGGTCAGGAGAATTGCTTGAACCTGGGAGGCAGAGATTGCAGTGAGCCGAGATTACACCATTGCGCACTAGCCTGAGTGACACGGTGAGATGCTGTCTCAAAAAAAAAAAAAAGAAAGAAAGAAAAGAAAATCACTTTAATATGTTACATTTTACCTCTGAACAAGAATAGTGGGTGTTGCACTTAGATAATTAGACAACATTCCAAATTTCCATTGGCTGACTTTCAGGAAATTTGCTTAGAGTATTTGGGGTGTGTTTGTTTTTACCCTGCCCTTTTTGTATCACAGCCATTGTTTTTTTTTCCCAATTAATTTGGTTCATCTGCAAAAGTTTTTCCATGCCATGTCCAAGTTAATAACAAAGTCATTAAAGATACTCTGCATGGCTAGAGACAATTTAAGGGATGTAACAAGTAGAAAATTTTTCTGGAAAATTGAACTTTCTATTTTGGTTTAATGAGTGTATGGTAATGATTTAGCTTTGCTATAAGCCCAGCTTTCAGAAAACAATAGAATAAAATATTTTAAATTTCTAAATAAATTGTCCTTTTGCATTCAGGATAAAAACATTGAAATTTTAGAAGTCAGTATTTAATTGATGGGCCCGACTGAGAGCTTGACTCTCTCCTACTTTTGATATTTGAGTATCACCTCATTTCAGACACTAATAAAAACATCTACTCTGATACTTTGTTGGACAGAGAGAAAGAGAATAAGAGGTCTGCAGCATCACTACCAGATATAAATTGGTTGGTAATTTAGCAATAACACTTCTTTATTCATCGAACAATAATTAATAATATGTCTATTCAGTAAATAAGATTATTCAAGTATTTTATGTGTTGTGGGAGGAGAGAGAATACAGAAGAGGAAAATACTAAAGTCTCTGCTTCCAAGATATTTTATATGAGAACGCAACATTTTTAAAATGCGGAAGGATACAGGAAAAACTATATTTAGCAACTGTCACATATAAGCTCAAGTATGTTTATAGAAGAACTATCAAAAAATGAAGAAATCAAATTATATTATGTGAGGAAAAAAGAAAGAAACCAGGCATATTAGTTTGCCAAGACAATCTCAAGGGAAATATGCTAGCTGTTTCATGTGTTGGCAGCATCATCATTTGTAGAGAGAATAGATTCTGATGGCTCCTGGCTTCTTGAAGAACAAAGCCTATACATCTCAGTCGGGCATATGAAATCTTGCATAATCTGATTCCAGTTTTCCAAATTATGTCTTTCTAATTGCAACTACATCAGTTCCAGACTTCTTTCTTACTCCTACACTTTGCCACTTATTATTTTCCTACCTAGAATGCTTTATCCTTTTTTCTGCCTAAGGACACTTACTCATCCTTAAAAGATAATTTTGGACTTGTATAAACTTGTATAAAAAAATAACTTCCTATTGTACACCGAAATCCTCACTGAAATGACCAAAGGAATACAAAAAAAAAAAAAGAAAAGAAAAGAAAACCTAACTTGGGAAAGGAAAATAGGGATGAATAGTTCATACATGCCGGAAACTCTAGGGATGTCTGTTAGATATGCTGCATGTGGGACCAGGTAGAGAAAATACACCAAAACCAATCTGCCACTTTCCTCCTTTAAGTTAGCTGGTATTTCAGAGAGCAAGTTGAGGAGATCCAAGATGTTCCTCATGATACAGACAAGGAGCAGAGCTCCAAGAATTTCTTTTGCTATGAGCGCTCAACAATATTCAAAAGTAGCTGTGATTGGATCTCTTGGAGTTCTTAAGCTGCTATTTCAACTGAAAAAATGTGAACAAAACACCAGGGATGAAGGCTAGGCTAGACTGTGTCTGGAGAACATGTCCACCAACAGACACCTATATTCGAAAACCTCATCCATCCTTCTACTTGATGTGAAAATGATAAAGCTATAATAATCAAAGCATCTAATAATCAATGTTTTGATGCAACAATGATCAGAAAGCACTATTTCAGAAACAAACTTATATATGAGTTTTATTTATTTCCCTTAGCTCCTGTTTTCTTGGTTGTAAAGCAGAGATGATGATGATAGTAACACATAATACAAGATACTAAAAGCATTACAATTTTAAGCAGGCTAATTTATATTAAAATGAGTAACACAATAAGCACCAATAATTCCTTGCTTTAGGATTACTATTATCAAAATATTACTTTGATATAATGAAGCTGGAATTTTAAATCACTTAGGAAATGATCCTATAATATTAAGAATTTGAGAGAAAATGAGTTTGACCATTACTTTCTAAATTACTTCCTGCAATTGATAACGAATGGTTAACCTAAGAATAAAGTCTTTTTCAGAAAACACCAAAGACATGATGAATAGGGAAAATAATATCTGATTTTGCTACAAGAAATAAAAATAAAAATTTTTAATCAACCAAAAACATATTAAGCAAGACTTAATGGCAAACAAAAATGTGGGGAAAATATTCAACAACACAATTGGGAATTTAAGTATTTGTAAAACATACACAGAACTTACTATTTAATAAGAAAAATACAAACACATTGCTTAAAAATCCAAACACATTGATTTTTTAATTTCTTAAAAAAGAAATTAAGTAATGCTTGAATGCATTCAATAAATATATGTTTAGTACTTGCTCAATAAATGCCTACTACTGGGATTACAGGCCTGAGCCACTACACCTGGCCCCTCCCACCTTTTGTAGTCTCCAGTGTCTATTATTCCACTCTACATGTCCATGGTACCTGTTGTTTAGCTCCCACTCATAAGTGAGAATATGTGACATTTGACTTTTTGTTTCTGAGTTATTTCCTTTAGGATAATGGCCTCCAGCTCCATATTTATATATACTTGAATTCTTTAAATTTTTATATATTTGTGGGGTACAAGTGCAGGTTACTTACACACATATGTTGCATAGTGGTGAGGCCTGAGCTTTCAGTGTACCCATCACCCAAATAGTGAACATCATACCCAGTAGGGAATTGTTCAATATTCACTCCTTTCCCACCCTCCCATCTTCCTACCTTTTTTTTTTTTTTTTTTTTTTTTTTTTTTTTTTTTTTTTGATACAGAGTCTCACTCTGTCAACAAGGCTGGAGTGCAGTGGCGTGATCTTGGCTCACTGCAACCTCTGCCTCTCAGGTTCAAGTGATTCTCATGCCTCAGCTTCCCTAGTAGCTGGGATTACAGGCGCATGCCACCACACCCAGCTAATTTTTGTATTTTTAGTAGAGATGGGGTTTAGCAATGTTGGCCAGGCTGGTTTTACTCCTGGCCTCAAGTAATCTGCCTGCCTCGGCCTCCCAAAGTGCTGGGATTACAGGCATGAGCCACTGGGCTGGGCCCCTCCCGCCTTTTGTGTCTCCAATGTCTATTATTTCGCCCTGCATATCCATGATACCCACTGTTTAGCTCCCACTCATAACTGAGAATATGTGGTATTTGACCTTTTGTTTCTGAGTTATTTCATTTAATATAATGGACTCCAACTCCATCCATGTTGCTGCACAAGACATGATTTTATTTTTTATTGCTGAGTAGTATTCCATGGTGTGTGTGTGTGTGCGTGTGGGTGTGTGTGTTTCTCAAATTTTCTTTATCCAATCCTCCATTGATAGACACTTAGGTTGATTCCATATCCTTGCTATTGTGAATAGGGCTGTGATAAACATCTGAATGCCAGTATCTTTTTGATATAATAGTTTCTTTCCCTTCAGGTATATACCCAGTAATGGGATTCCTGGATCAAATGGTAGTTCTATTTTTTAATTCTTTGAGAAATCTCCATACAGTTTTCCATAAAGGTTGTACTAATTTACATTCCCTCCAACAGTGGATAAGCATTCCCTTATCTCTGCATCCTCACCAACAGCTATTGTTTTTAGACTTTTTAACAATAGCCATTCTGACTGGTGTAAGATGGTATCTCACTGTGGTTTTAATTTGCATTCTCTGGTTAGTCATGTTGAGCATTTTTTCCTATGTTTGTTGGCCACTTGTATGTCTTCTTTTGGAAAATGTCTGTTTCATGTCCTTTGCCCATATTTTAATGGAGTTATTTTTAATGGGGTTATTTTGTTGAGTTGTTTGATTTTCTTGTAGATTCCAGATGGTAGCTTTCCATCAGATGCATAGTTTGTAAATATTTTTCCCATTCTGCAGGTTGTCAGTTTACTTTGTTGATTGTTTCTTTTGCTGTGTAGACGTATCTGTCTTTAAAAAAGACAGGTAAAGTATTCGACTTCATGAATCTTATCTTTTGGGATATTGATAAAAGCAGAAATATATATGATCAATAGACATGAAAAAAATTTCCTCAGTAAAAGTCAAAGATATGAAAATCAAATCAATATATAATTTTTGACCAATCAAACATCCAAGATTTTAAAAAATACACAATGTTGACAAGGCAGTGAATTAGATTCTTTACCAGTAAGAGAAATTAGAGGTAGTTTTTGGATGGCAATTTGGTAATATTTATCTAAATAGTTTTTAAAATTATTTTATCCAATAATTCAATTGCTTATAGTTTACTCTTAGAAAATATTCAGTGGTGCATGGAATATTTTGATCATGATGATGAAAAGTTCTGCATTATTTCTAAGAGTAAAAAATTTAAAACAATGTTTTATTTCTGTAACAGAATTTAAGTAAATTGAGATCTATTTGCAAAACGGACTACTATATAACTCAAAAAACACCTAAAAGGAATATTTTAATGAATTAAAAAATATATTATTGTTATTAACTTTAAAAAAAGGCTTACAAAACATTATGTTAAATCTGGCTTTTTTGCATTAAAGTTTTTATTTATGCATAGGAAAAACACTGAAAAATGTTCACTAAATTAGTAGCTATTGTATTGTTGGGTGAAAGTTCAATACATAATTTTTATTTGCTTTATCTTTTTCATATTCTCCAATGATCAACATTGAACTTGGAGTTATTTTATAATCAAGCAGAAAATTAATGAGAGGAAGAAAAACCCAGCTAGAATGAACTTCCTCTGTGAAGTCTTGGTCCACTTACCTAGTTAATCTGGGTTACTTCTTCCTCTACATTCTTGTAACATTTTGGCTTATCTGTTTTAAACATGTACTGATCATTTATGGACTTTTCTTTCCACTGAGATCCTTCAAAGTGGAGTTATTTCATCTCTGTGTTCTCCTTTTTGCTCCTCAGTTACTAATCCAAACCCCATAGTAGAATACAGACTCAGTGTTCTGAGTTGAATTGTCTCTCAAAAAATATGTTGAGATCCTAACCCAGAGTAGCTGTGAATGTGATATTTGGAAATAGGATGTTTACAGAGGTAATGAAGTTCAGATGATATCGTTAGGAGGCGCCCTAATCCAATATAACTGGTGTCTCTATAAGAATGACTTTCTTCACAGAATTGGAAAAAACTACTTTAAAGTTAATATGGAACCAAAACAGAGCCCACATCACCAAGTCAATCCTAAGACAAAAGAACAAAGCTGGAGGCATCACACTACCTGACTTCAAACTATACTACAAGGCTACAGTAACCAAAACAGCATGGTACTGGTACCAAAACAGAGATATAGATCAATGGAACAGAACAGATCCCTCAGAAATAACGCCGCATATCTACAACTATCTGATCTTTGACATACCTGAGAAAAACAAGCAATGGGGAAAGTATTCCCTATTTAATAAATGGCGCTGGGAAAACTGGCTAGCCATATGTAGAAAGCTGAAACTGGATCCCTTCCTTACACCTCATACAAAAATCAATTCAAGATGGATTAAAGACTTAAATGTTAGACCTAAAACCATAAACACCCTAGAAGAAAACCTAGGCATTACCATTCAGGACATAGGCATGGGCAAGGACTTCATGTCTAAAACACCAAAAGCAATGGCAACAAAAGCCAAAATTGACAAATGGGATCTAATTAAACTAAAGAGCTTCTGCACAACAAAAGAAACTACCATCAGAGTGAACAGGCAACCCACAAAATGGGAGAAAATTTTCACAACCTACTCATCTGACAAAGGGCTAATATCCAGAATCTACAATGAACTCAAACAAATTTACAAGAAAAAAACAAACAACCTCATCAAAAAGTCGGCGAAGGACATGAACAGACACTTCTCAAAAGAAGACATTTATGCAGCCAACAGACACATGAAGAAATGCTCACAATCACTGGCCATCAGAGAAATGCAAATCAAAACCACAATGAGATACCATCTCACATCAGTTAGAATGGCGATCATTAAAAAGTCAGGAAACAACAGGTGCTGGAGAGGATGTGGAGAAATAGGAACATTTTACAGTGTTGGTGGGACTGTAAACTAGTTCAACCATTGTGGAAGTCAGTGTGGCGATTCCTCAGGGATCTAGAACTAGAAATACCATTTGAACCAGCCATCCCATTACTGGGTATATACCCAAAGGACTATAAATCATGCTGCTATAAAGACACATGCACATGTATGTTTATTGTGGCTCTATTCACAATAGCAAAGACTTGGAACCAACCCAAATGTCCAACAATGATAGACTGGATTAAGAAAATGTGGCACATATACACCATGGAATACTATGCAGCCATAAAAAATGATGAGTTCATGTCCTTTGTAGGGACATGGATGAAATTGGAAATCATCATTCTCAGTAAACTATCACAAGAACAAAAAACCAAACACCACATATTCTCACTCATAGGTGGGAATTGAACAATGAGAACACATGGACACAGGAAGGGGAACATCACACTCTGGGGACTGTTGTGGGGTGGGGGGAGGGGGGAGGGATAGCATTAGGAGGTATACCTAATGCTAAATGACGAGTTAATGGGTGCAGCACACCAGCATGGCACATGTATACATATGTAACTAACCTGCACATTGTGCACATGTACCCTAAAACTTAAAGTATAATAATAATAAAATAAAAATAAAAAAAGAAGAGAAATGCACAGACACACACCATGGGATGATGGAGGCAGAAATGGAAGTGATGCACCTATAAGCCATGGAATGCCAAGGATTGCTGGGAATACAAGAAGCTAAGAAAACGGCATGGAACAGATTCTGCCCTAGAGCCTTCAGGGATAGGATGTCCCTGCTAACATATTGATTCTGTTCTTCTAATCTCTGGAACTGGGAGAAAATAAATATATGTTGTTATATGCAACCCAGTTTGCAGTACTTTGTTACAACAACCCTAGGAAATGAATATGCTCCATGAATAATTACTGAATAATAAATTAACAGATTGTTTCTACATGAGCCTCAGGGATCAATTCAAGACCAGTGACTGGATTTTAGAGGAAGAAGGTTCTTGCTTCTTCCCATCAGGAAGAATTTGTATGAAGAAAATTCAAGACATAGGTTGCTATTTGGACACTATTCTAAATTCCATAGTTCTAAAATATAATTTTTATTTCATATTAACAAAATAGCGAATCATTATTTGGATGTATAAGCTTTGCAACCTAAAACCCACTGCAATGAATGTAAGCAAAAGCAAGATGGTATGGTTTTAGTGAAGTTAGGTAATAACAGCACCATCTACTGGTATATGAACAACGCTATGACTGATAATATTTGTGCAAGTTGTTTGGAACAGCACATAATAAGTATCAATAAAAGTTGGTTTTCTTTCTTTTCTCCTTGCTGGAAGGTAAAATAAAAATAATACTATTAGTGTCTTAAAGTTTCCAAATTCAATTTATTTAAAATAAATCCCTATATGTGAAAAAGGTAATTAATGAAATATACAAAATTCATTCTGCTTTAGATGTAGTATATCTGATTAGAGTAGAAAGGATTGCAATTTGTGTACAACTGTGACAAAATATAAGATTATAATTCAATTAAATATATACTGCATACTTACTATGAGTAAAAATATGCAAAGTGGACATATAAATATGAATGAGTTTCCAGGAAACATTTAGAAGCAAACATCATATTACATACTGTTATTGGTTTTTGACCTGAATTTTATGAAATAATAGACAACAAAATTATATCTAATCCCCAGCCCAAATAACTCATGGGGAATGATTATGTTTGTGCTGCATGGAAAGGTTAGCCCATTCTTTCAACAGTTTAAGAAATTATAGTCACAGATAGAAAAGAGCAATGACTGATACCTGTTTATTTAAAATATGCCCCTAAACCAGGCTGGAACCCAGAAATATTCGGTATCCAGAAGTGTTTACCCAAATTCACAAATCTTTCAGATTGTGTCTGTACAGAGTTGCTGACTGAAGTAATCTGTTCTAACAAGGCTTCTGTACTACCCTTTAGGTTGCTCCAATAATACTTTCAAAAAGCAAGGAAGTTTTTTTCTTGAGAGAAAATTTCTACACAGTGAAAAGTTTATTTCAATAATTCTGACGTTTGGAACTAAATAATCTTTGAAACTGAAGTAGCAAAATAGATACTTAAACACTTACATAGTTTTTAGCTACACATTATAAATTCCCTTTTTGAAAAGTTCCCTTAATGGGGTCCCCACACTATTCTGCTCTCACCATGAAAAAGTCTAAAAACAGCACAGTAATTAAAATACAGGTGAGAAAAAAAAATGGTTAAACAGGTCTGATATTTCTTTAAGGGTAGTAAACTTTAGTGCACATTTATTATATTGAGATGTAATACATAGGTTTTAGAATCAAACACGCAAAGATTCAAATTCTAGCTCTGATGTTCACTAATTTGGGAAGTTCACTTCATTTCCAGGAGTCTCATGTGTAAATTAGTGTAAGTAATATCTATATGCCAGCATTGTTGTAAGTGTTAAATTAGATCCTACACATAAAGCATCTGTCACATAGGGACACTTAAATATTGAGTGTCCCCTTTCCTTTCTTGAGGAATAATTGGGGGAAGGGCAACAGGAGGAATCAAAATATTAGAAATGTTCATTGTATGATTTTGGCTAGCTTTCTCTCTCCTTTCTTTTTCTTCTTTTCTTTTTTCCTTTTCTTTTCTTTCTTCTTTTTTGTTTTATAGTGGACAATGTGTATAGCTGGCTCCAGGGATGGGAGGGCACCATCTCTGCCTCTTACTTATTTAATTTTTGATAAAAATTATGTGGCTATAAAATAGACTACATTTTTCAGATACAGATATCTGAGATTAAGTGAAGGATGGGTGAATGCGATTGCATTGAAATATTTCACAGTTCAACAATTTCAAAAGCATGTTTGCACATAATCCCACCCACTCCATTATGTGTCTGCAGTAACACATGAATATTTGAGGCAGAGCCAGGTACATTGCTAGGCTTGGCATAAGAATACCTGGCAAACAGAGTTTGGGTAATTTAAGACTTCATGTTTCCCAGTCATCATATAGGCCTCCTGACAGAATGCTGTAAGTGGATAGTGTCAACACCAGAAGACTGCTAAGGAAAATAAAGACAAATCTAGGAGTACTGTCATGGTTGGTTTCTCACCAAGTGCATGGGCTTCCACAAGTTTGAAATTTATCATTCAATAAACATTTATTAAGCACCAACTTTGTGGTAGACTGTATGGTTGCTAGCTAGAATACGGCAGTAAACAAAGTCAGTGTGGTTCTTGGCATCATGGAACATATGGGCCATTCTAGTGTCAGAAAGTTAGTTCTTAAAAAGGTGATTAGGACAGTAACAATAAAAGAAGACTGGATAAACCCATGAACATACCTCAAGGTGAGTAGACATCCACTGAAGATACCTAAAATATCTGATGACAATTATGCTTTTGCAATAAAATGTATATGAACATGTAGCCACAACTATCACTTAAATGGGTAAAATAAACCATGAAGTTTAGAATGGTTGGAAGATTTCCTGAATATAAAACCTTCTACATAACAGATCTCTTATTCAGGTGATTCTTGAAAGCCTGATGGTCACAGTTTGTTTAGAATTTAGAATTATCATTTTCTGGAGACCTAATTTCAGGAATCCAGGATTCCAAGCATGAGTGTCTTTTTAAGTTGGCTTTTTAAAGATAAAATATCTAGATGATTTGTATACCTGATATCTCTGTTTTCTGGTTTTGAATTGTCAAGTGTGTTAACTGACATCAAAAGACACAGTATCAGACTCAAAGTAATAGAACTACAGCCTGTAAAATTAAGGAAGATGATATCAAGAATATTTAGGTATATCAAGTAGAGTAGTTTTTCTGGGCAGAATAAGATCAATATATATTTAAATCAATATGAAGGAGGCTTTCTTTGGCTGTAATTCACAGGCTCATTTATCTGCTGTCTGCCAATTATTGAAAGCACCTTAGTTGGCTTTTCAATGTTTCTAGTCATTTCTTAGTGTTCTAAAATTTTTTTTTCTATATTGCCTGAGAAGAATGATAAAAAATTATATTTGCACAGCTGCATCCTGTGTTGTCAGCATTAAATACTTACAGATGTCTTTTTTCCAATCAGAAATAAGTAATTTTCTAAATTATTTCCAAAATAAAAACTCTTCTTTAAAAAAAAAAATCTCAACTTCTAGATAGCCATGGTTTGAATTTAAATATGAAAATCTTTTTGCTTCGAAGTTTATCTTCCAAACATGCAAATTTTATAAACTGATTTCTGATACAAGTAGTGTCTGGAAATACTAGTTTTTATCTATAAACATAATTATTAATAATATCAAGTGATAGTTTTCAAGGATACTTTAGAAATAAGGTAAGTATTCTCAATTTTCTGTTGAGGAAACTTGGGCCCAGGGCAGACAATTAACTTTCTCATTGCTACAGAGCTAGGAGTTAGGGTCTGAACCTAAGTCTCTTACTTCAAAATTCACATGCTTGCCCAGAAAGGTTTTGTTTTGAACAAAAATTTAAATGACTGCTTGCATGTTATTTGAAATACTTTCATATTATAGTTATGAAGTTTCAGTCATTGTAAGAAATAGACTCCACAAACATCCAACAGGGATATTTTTTCTGGCAGGATTATGGTTTAGTTTCACTACCTTTATCACCATCAAAGAATAGATATCAAATTCTTATGCATAAACAGCATGGTAGATCTTGCCCTCTAGAAATTGTGGCAATATGAAAACAATATAATTCATACTGCTTTTAGTCTTTTTAAAATGAAAAACTTCATAGCTGCATTTACTATACACACACATCCATACACGTGTGTATACATATAAATTAGTAATTATCAAATTTATTCTTAAATATTTATGTATCTCAAATAGGAAGTCACTAATTAATATTTTTCCTTAAAACATTTCTATTTATAAATATAAAATATTTCCTCATCAGCTGGAAGCCATCATTCTGAGCAAAATATCACAAGGACAGAAAACCAAACACCGCATGTTCTCACTCATAAGTGGGAGTTGAACAATGAGAACACATGGACACAGGGAGGGGAACATCACACACCGGGGCCTGTTTGGGGGTGGGGGGCTGAGGGAGAGATAGCGTTAGGAGAAATACCTAAGGTATATGATGAGTTGATGGGTGCAGCAAACCAACATGGCACATGTATTCCTATGTAACACACCTGCACGTTGTGCACATGTACCCTAGAACTTGAAGTATAATGAAAAATAAATAAATAAATAAATAAATAAATAAATAGCAAAAAAGAATTCCTCTTCTTCTTCTAAATGTTCATTCAACATTCAGCCAAATTGTCATTGCTAGTTAAATGTTGGAAAGGGAGTCTTTCTGTGATGAATAGTATTAGAATGTTATCAGTTGGTATTCTCTGATTGCAAGATATAGAAAACAACTGATTATCTCTGGCAAAAAAAGAAAGTTAAAGGACATAAGGTGGCTCCTAGAGGTGAAAGAAAAGTTGAGGAACCGATCTCAAAAACAGCAGGAATGAAGGCAGGTTCAGGAAATGAGGGACACTGTCTTTGGTGGGCAACCTCCTCAATGAACCAGCATTAACCACATACTGTCTTCAGTCACTTAGCTCACAATTAATATACCAGAGAGAGAGAGAGAGAGAGCATAATTCACTTCCTTTGGGGCACAGGTCCATTTGCTGTCAAGGGAGTTTAAGGTACTTTAACTTCCCCCTTACAGACTGTACACAATCAGGAATAAATAATTTCCTCGGGACAAAATAGGTGTGTCTTACCCAAAGAAGGGCTAATGAGTACTGGGAGGCAAAAATAAATAAACAAAAATAAAAAATCTCAATATAATAATTGTAGCATGTAATTTTCTTAGTTTTTTTTTAAATAAAGAAATCAAGATTTGCTCTTCCTAATGCTGAATTTCTGTTACAGTCACAGATCAGTTAATGATGGGGATACACTGTGAGAAATGTGTCATTAGGTGATTTCGTCATTGTGCGTCATTGTGCAAACATCATGGAGTGTAGGTACACAAACCTAGATAGTACAGCCCACTTCATACCTAGGCTTCATGGTAAAGCTTATTGCTCCTAGGCTACAAACCTGTATAGCTTGTTACTGTACTAAAAACTGAAGGCAACTGTAACTCAATGGTTAAGTATTTGTGTATCTAAACATAGAAAAGGTACAGTAAAAATACAGTATTATAATCTTATAATCTTATGGTTCCACCATCGTGTATTCAGTCCATCGTTGACTGAAAGGTCACATGAATGTGTTTTGACAGCCATTTTTTTAACCAAATATAAAAACAGCGACTTTTTAGATGTACTTAACATTTTCAATGCTACCAAAACAAGGAAATGAAAAATTTCTATAATTAGTTTGCATTTTCAGAATCTACAGAAGATATCTTCAATTTCAAAATGTAAGATTTTTATTTCCAAAGTACTTTTTTTTTGGTGTGGGAGACTGAAGTAGTCACCTAGGAACTTAATTTTATTTCCTATTTTTCCTGTCCTTCTCTCTCCAGCCTCTCACACACCCAATTTGGCTCATTTTTTTTTCATATGTAACTTCTGAGAAAACCATAGTTTCTGTGTTGCATGTTCTGTTTTTAGTCTCAGCATCTAAAGCTTCTTATTCAGATGCTCATCATTACCAGCCTTTCTAGATAATATTTTACTTTAAAAGTAAAAATCATTTGACCTTAGTATATTCAACTTGACTTTTTAAAAGCTTTTTTTTTTTTTTTTTTTTTTTTTTTTGTCAACTCAGGGTTCTTTTCTTTTTAGCAACTCCTGTGAACTTTCTAACTCTGAAACCTATGCAGGAAAATGTATCTATTTTTACCATCTGCCTGTCTCACATTGTATTATTAGGAAAGAACTTTTCAGTATGAATTTCATGAGATGAAGCGGGTGACTAATTCCCATTACAGGATTGCAGGATGACTTTCTTAATACTTCTTCCCCTTATTACTGAAGATTCCTCCGCTCTGTGGTTTGTTGCTCTACATCAACTGCTATTTAGAAAAAGTTTAAGATAAATACAGAGTTAATTTTAAAAATAATGACTTTTTGGAGTGCTTCTTGAGTGCAGGTGATGTTCTGTTTCTTGATCTAGGTTCTGGCTACATGCTGTATTTGCTTAGTTTGTGAAAGTTTCTGCAGTTGTATACTTATGATTTGTGCACTTTTCCTCAATTAAAGTGTACTAGAAAATACTGCTTAAAAAGAAAAATCACTCTTTGTTAAATTTCAATTCTATTTTGGTGCTTTTTGTCATTGAGGTGTTCATTATTGTTTAATTGATCTATTAGAGCTCTTCCAGCAATTCAAGTCAAAATCCTTGGAGTCATCCTTGACTCCTCTATTTTTATTACACTTATATCCAATATGTAGGCAAATACTCTCAGCAGCACCTTCAATATAAATCCATAATCCTACCACTTCTCCCCACTTCATTGCTACCACCTAGATATCTTCAATTTCAAAATGTAAGATTTTGTCATCTTTTGTATAGATTCTTGCAAGGCCAAGCAAATGGTCTCCCTTCTCCCATACTATCCTTATCCCTCATTCAGTCTATAGAGCACACAGCAGCCAGAGAGATCGTATCCAATTGTAGGATAAATTATATGATTCCTCTGTTCCCAGCTCTCCAGAGGCTTCACATTTTACTCCAAGTAAAAGCCAAAATCATTACTGTGACTCACAGCATCCTGTACAATTGGCCCAGGGTGACCTCTCTGGTATCTCCTACTACTCATCTTTTCACTCACTCTGCCTCACCAAGGTGGCCCCTTTGGTCCTCTTTCAACACAGTAGACAGCCTCTGTATCAAGTTCTTCGCAGTCACAGTTCTCTCTGTCTTAAAAACTCTTCCTCAAGATATTCATTCACATGGCTCACTCTTCTCACTTTAGGTAATGTGACCTCATTGAGACTTTCCCTGACCATTGTAAAATTACAACTGTTTCCCTCCAGCACTCCCTATATCCTTTCCCTGCTTTGCTTTTAGACTTATGACCATTTAATGTTATATATATATATATATATTTACTTATATACAGAAAACATAAATATAGATACAGATACAGTCAAGCCTCCATATCCATGGGTTTCAGGTCTGTGAACTGAGCCAACCCAGATTCAACCACTGCAGATTCAGCCAACTGAGGATTAAAAATATAAAGATAAAAATAAATAATAATACAATAATAAAAATAATACAAATAGAATAATACAATATAACAACTATTTACATAGCATTTACATTGTATTAGGTATTAAAAGCAATCTAAAGATGATTTAAAGTATATGAGAGGATGTGTGTTAGTTACATGCAATACCGCACCCTTTTATACAGGGGCTTGATCATCTGCAGCTTTTAGTAATCTGCAGTGGTCCTGGAACCATTCCCCTTTTAGATACTGTGGGCTGACTGTACACATATGTATAGACATGGTCAGCAATAGATTGTTTTATATATCTTTAGTAATCCTTTGCAAGCCACAAGAATTGCATTTCTGAAAAAATACTATGATTATTAAAACCATGGTTAGCAATAACAAGGTCTCAGAAAATAGATGATACATTTTAAAAATAATCAAAATAACATTACATATGTAGATCTGAAACACAGTAAATAGAAGTTATAGAAGGCATCTGCTTCCAAACAACCTAGATTAAACAATAATAAAATCCCACCCTCAGGCAGTCCTTCTAAATTTCCTCCAATTGTTCAAAAAATATTGCAGAGGCTTTCTGTTCCACTAAGGAGGTTCTCCCACAAGTTTTCATTTCTGTAGACAACTGTACCTGTTTACATTTTTTTGTATCAGCTCTTATTGAAATACAAATGTTATGGGTTTATATATGAATTGTTTCTTGTTTCCCAATTATTGGTGGGGAATTACTGGTGCTTCAGGAAACTAATATAGTGGGTTGTGGCTATTTTTTAATAAAATAGAATAAAATAAAAATAAACATTCATTCACACTAATGTTATTAGTATGAATCCTGAATATCAAAGGTAAGTACTACTTTATGAAACTTTTGTTTCAGTTGTGTATGTGTGTGTGTGTGTGTGTGTGTGTGTGTGTGTGTGTGTTGGGGTCATGATATGCAATAAATTTCCTATTGAGGTTTGCAGTAAAAAAGTTTGAAATACATTGTTCTAAGCATATTTGCTGCCTCAAATATGCCACCCAGAAACTTGCATGTCTTGTATCCAGCATTTGCTTTACCAATAAAATACTCCCATGTTTGTTTATTTGGAGATAAAAGGTAGGAAAATCCGACATTTCTAAGAATCCAAACGATGCCAGCCAAAAAGCACATTATTTCCAGAAAGAAAGGTTTCAGTGGGATAATTGAAACCAAGAGATTGGCCAGTTACTTGAGTAATCATTGCCCAGAATGGTTATCACTGATTCAAGTAGAACTTCCTTTTCTTGGATTGCATTTCCTATGATAAATGGAACTATGTAGTGTCTTTTAAAATCCCAAGTACAAAATGAAATATTGTGCATCTATACAGTTCAATTTTCAGGAGAACTATATAACTCTACAGCATTCTGTATTTGTTCCAGAACTCTAATCCAAATTCTTATTCTCCTCCCTTTAGACTGCCATTAACATTAGCATGAGTGGTTCAGAAACAAAATATGTCTGATTAGGGTTTGCTGATCCACTCACAAATGCTTCCTGTGTCTCTAACAAGTGATAATATCTCCCATCCTGAATCCAACCACTTTCCAGCAATGTGGAAACATGATGAAGTTATTTCATTTGAGGGACCATCCGCCTGTTTCATTTTCTTTACTTTACCCCTACCAAATTATATATAACAAAAAATTAACATTAACCTAGATCTATTTAGGATAAGTCACTGGTAATAGCTATTATTTGGCCATTCTACAGAAACATGAATTTTATGTGGTTCAACAGAAAAGCTGAGTATATTCAGTCATGGTAGAAATCTATTGAAAAATTACGTTCAGGGATTTAGAGGTTGGAATGAGAACATTTGAGTGATCTAGTAAGAAGATAACTCCATGGGGATGTCTATGATTTCCATTATATTAGCATTTAATACATTTGTGTTATTATTCATCCTTTCAATACTACACTTATTGAGCACCTGTAGGGTGCTCAAACACTTTCTTGGTGTTCAGGATAGAAAGATGAATAAGATGTAACTCATTACCTTAAGGAACTTGCAGTCCAATGGCCTACATTCCATTTGAATTTGAATGGAAACATTAGCTTTAAAGTCTGCTCTACCAACCAATTATTTGTAGAAGTCCAGTCAGGGTGGTGGAAGAAATTATAAGAGGAAGTTATAGAAAGAAGCAAACCTTCTTGGAATGCTGGGAGGTTTTGCAAAAGCTTCGAAAGAGAATTTGGCTGAAGGCAGCCAAATTCTCTTAAGAGCTTAGGTTAGATAAGAAGGGGATGTAAAGAAACTGATCTAGATAAGTTAGTTTACTTAGGCCTCCGAACCTGGCCTTTAATCATCTGCACGCAGGACTACTCCGGGGGCGACCATATTAATTATCCACAAGTGTGTTGACTCAAGGCCTTTGTCATTAAATCTGTACCAAATAAATGCCTGCAGCACCAGCTCGTCACGACCACAGCTGCTACAACTCTTTACAGCACACTCTTTGGTGTCTGTGAGTGGCCCAGTCCCCTAGACCGCTCTTTCACTGGATACCTGTGTCTAAGTGCATTTTTTCGTCTGTCACTTGGTCACGATCTGCAGGTTGAACCCAGCAGGTGATGGCCCGCATGAGGAATGCTGCAACGGTTCATGACAGAACCCTTGAAAACAAAGGTGAAGAGACTGTACAGTCAGTAAGTCAGTAAGTCATTGGTGCCCACTAGGGATTTCCAAGTTCAAGGGAATTGTTCAGGTTAGGGTTTCATCATGGGACAACAGTTATCAGCTCAACAGCAACAGTATACAGAAGTATTGAAACAGCTGCTTAAAGCTAGTGGAGCCTCAGTTTCACAGGCTCAATTAAGGGACCTAATGCAAACTGTTGTTTCCCATAACCCATGGTTCCTAGAAGAAGGTACACTAGACGTAGAGCTGTGGGAACAAGTGGGGAGAAATCTTAAACAACATCATGCACAAGGGCAACAGGTCCCAGTAACATCTCTAACATTATGGGCTTTATTTAGGGTGGCTGTAGTCCCGCTCTATGCAGAAGAGCCTAAAAAGGGAAGGGAGGAGGAACCGTCACCTACCTTACCACCTCCTTATCCCTCAGCCCCGCTAACACTGGGCCAAAATAACAAAGAGGAAATGAAGGTTTTGCCTGAGCCCCCTCCTCCAATAAATTGGAAAAAAGACAAGGGATACGCTACAGCTATGGGACCCTGTCTCAGGCAAGCGGCATTAGAAGGGGAACTCTAACCCTGCCAGGTAGTGCAAGATCAACAAGGCAATCAGGTACATGAACCCATTTCTTTTAACTCTTATAAAGAGCTAAGAAAAAGTATTAAAGAAAACAGAGCCACTAGCCCATTTATGAAAGGAATTATTGAAGCCATGGCAGACAACTTCCCATGGGACTGGTCAGTGCTAGCTAAAACAACTTTGGAGCCCAGCCAATACCTCCTCTGGAGGGCAGAATATGATGAGTCGTGTGAACAACAAGCCTACCAGAATCAGTTGGCTAGGCAAGACATAATGCTGATATGCTCCAGGGGAGGAGTCCCCATGCCGATGTACAACAACAACTAAATTTTGATCCCCAGGCCTATGTACATGTGTCTTTGTGTGATCTTAGGGCTTGACAAATTCCCAAAAGCGGAGTTCAACAGGGATCTTTTACAAATGTTCGACAAGGGCCTCAGGAGCCATTTGTTGAAATTATCATTCAGTTAACCCAGGCAATTAAGAGACAAATTAGTCATGCCCAGACCGCTGATATCTTATTTTTGCAATTGGCTTATGAAAATGCTAATGTCAATTGCCAACAAGCAATGCAGACAATCAGAGGAAAGGCAGCCACAGTCGAGGAACTTATACGAGCATGTCAACTGGTGGGGACTGAAACACACAAAGCCAAAATATTGGCTATGGCATTAAGGCCTCCTAAAGTGGAAAGGGACAGAAACCCAAAGTGTTTTCTATGCGGAGAGCCAGGTTATGTGCAGACGGAATGCCCCAATAATAAAGACCAAGGTAACTCAGGAAAAGAAACTCCTTCTATATGCCCCCAACGTAAAAAGGAGAAACATTGGGCAAATCAATTCAGGTCCAAATTTGACAAAAACAGCAACCCCATAAGTAACCAGGCGGGAAACTTCATGAGGGGCTGGCCTCAGGCCCCGCTAAAAGCTGGGGCAATGCCAGCGGCTTGCTTTGGTCAGATGGGAAGCCCACAGTCCTCTCTCTCAGAGCAGTCACTGCTAGGAGCGCAGAGCTGGACTTACTTTGCCCCAACAAATTAGTGCTAAAAGAAGGAGAAGACCCTAAAAAGGTTGCAACTGGGATCTGGGGCCCACTGCCTCTGGGAACAGTGGGATTAGTCCTAGAGCGATCAAGCCTATCCAGTAAAGGAATTAATGTGCTCACTGGGGTGATTGATAGTGATTATCAAGGTGAGATATTAGTTATGATGAAATGTAAAGGTCTGCATATTCTTCCCCCTGGATCAAAGATAGCTCAGTTACTGCTTTTACCATACTAGGTCCCCAACACCCATGGAAAGGAAAGGGGAAAAGGAAGTTTTGGAAGCACAGGAGCCACAGGAGTATACAGGAATCAATTAATCACTGATCAGAGACCCATGATTACCTTAAAAATTGGAAATAAGAATTTTACTAGCTTATTGGACACAGGGGAAGATACTTCAATCACTAGTGATCAAAACTGGCCAGAAACTTGGCCTCGGGCCACTCAGAAACAAAAAATTGTCAGCACTGGGGAAGCTCACACAGCCAAGCAGAGCATGTACCCCCCAACATGTTGTGATTCAGAGGAAAGAAATGCAGTTATACAACTTCTAATAACGTCCATCCCTGCTAATCTTTGGGGACGGGACCTATTAGCTCAATGGGAGGTCATTCTGTGGACCCCTTTCTAGTAATGGCCACTGTTATTATCCCTCCCCTACCTCTGATGAGGCTCTCTCAAGATCCAATTTGGGTAGACCAGTGGCCTTTAAAGGGAGAGAAATTGCAAAGAGCCCATGAGTTTGTTGAAGAGCAATTAAAAGCCAGTCATATAGAACCATCAAAAAGACCTTGGAATTCACCCATTTTCATCATTCCCAAAAAGTCTGGTAAATAGAGACTTTTGCATGACTAACATGCTATCAATGCTAATTTGAAACCTATGGGACCCCTTGAGCAGGTGTTCTCCTCCCCTTCAGTGATTCCTTGAGATTGGCATATAATAGTTATTGGCTTAAAATACTGCATTTGTACTATTCCCTTTGCAGAACAGGACAGAGAAAAATTTGTGTTTATAATACCAGCTATAAATAACGAAAGGCCAGCTCCCCGATTTCACTGGAAAGTGCTTCCTGAAGGGATGCTAAACAGTCCTACCATGTGTCAGTATCATGTAAATCAAGCTTTGCTCCTCAGTAGAAAAGAATTTCCTAATTGCAAGACTATTCATTTTATGGATGATATTTTACTAGCAGCCCCAATGGATCCAGCACTTTTAAGTTTATGTGCCTCTGTTGTAAAGAATACACAGTTAAGAGGTTTAATCATAGCACCTGAAAAAGTACAGATGTCCTCTCCTTGGAAATATCTTGGGTACATACTAACTTCGTGGTCAGTAAGACCTCAAAAGGTTAAATTAAATACTAGCAACTTACACACCTTAAATGATTATCAGAAATTACTAGGCAATATTAACTGGCTTTGCCCCACCTTGGGCATAACTACTGATAAGTTACAGAACCTGTTTTCTATCTTAAAAGACAATGCTGCTCTAGACTCTCCCAGGTATTTAACTCCTGCAGCACAAAGGGAAATTGAGGAAGTAGAGCAAGCTATTTCTCAGAGGCAACTAGATCATATTGATCCATGGTATTCAGTTCAATTGTCTGTTTTTCCCACTAAACACTCCCCTACAGGGTTAGTAGGACAGATGGCCCCAGAGCTACGCTTTCTGGAATGGGTTTTTTTGCTCACATACTGGGACTAAACCCTTCTCTCCCTATATACAGTTAGTTAGTAAAGTCATCTATTCAGGCCACAGACGATGCAATCTATTACTAGGTTATGACCCTGATATCATCAGAATTCCTTTAAGTAAAAAGCAATGTGAAGCAGTATTGCCCTTATATATCGACCTGCAAACAGCACGGTCTGATTACACAGGCCATATAGAGCCTGCCCTTCCTGCTGACAAACTCCTTCAGTTCTTATCTTGTACTTCTGTGGTTTTGCCTAAAAAATAGTTCAGTCCCCCACACCTAATGCTTTAACACTGTTTACTAATGGCTCTGGTAAACATGGAAAAGTGGCTGTTTGGTGGAGACTGCATAATTCCCTCACTCATTCTGGATTTAATAGCACTCAGAGAGCTGAGGTTGGACCCTTAATATTGACTCTGGAGACTTTTCTACTCAGCCCATCAATATTGTTAGTGACTCTGCTTACTCTGTTCATTTGTTGCAGAACCTTGAGACAGCCCTCATTAAGTCGACTCTGGAGCCCACTCTATGTGCACTTTTTCTTTGACTTCAGCATTTGCTAGATCAACATACACATCCTATTTTTATCACACATATTCGAGCCTACAGCTGACTGCCTGGCCCATTGGCTTATGGCAATGATCAAGCAGACCTACAGGTCTGCCAATCACATCAATTTTTCCACCAAGGCTGGAGAAACTTATCTAAACAATTTCAACTTACCCAGAGACTAGCTAAACAAATCATCCTGCAATGCCCAGATTGCCAGCTCATAGGCACATCCCCTCCTTCAACAGGTGTTAACCCTAGAGGACTAGAACCTAATCAGTTATGGCAAACAAATGTTACACACATCCCTGAATTTGGAAAACTTAGATATGTACATATATCCGTTGATACCAATTCTCACTTAATTAGCGCTTGTGCCATTCCTGGAGAGTCCACCCAATATGTCATTAAACATCTCCTTTTAACTTTTGCATGTATGGAGCATCCCACAAAAATTAAAACTGATAATGGTCTGGCTTATGCCAGCTCATAATTTCAACAATGTCATCACATATAGAACATCCAACATTCTGCAGGCATCCTGTATAACCCCCAAGGACAGGCCATAGTAGATCATACCCACTCCACCCTTAAAAATATGCTCAGAAAACAAAAAAGGGGGAATATGAGTAAGGACCCTGCAACACCATTGGCACAAGCCTTATTTACCCTTAATTTTTAAAATTTAAATGATAAATTTCAATCAGCTGTAGAAAAGCACTTTGCTAAAACTTCTCAAGACATAAAACCTGCAGTTTTATGGAAAGATGTAAACAGTAATGTATGGCGTGGTCCAAATGAATTGTTAACATGGGGAAGAGGATATGCTTGTGTTCACACTCCCTCGGGTCCTCTTTGGATTCCAAGACAACACTTTGAACCATACCATGGCATGGCTAGGACCCAACCCAGTACCAGAAATGAAGAAAATGACCCTGCAGGACCCACAGCCCTGGATGATGCAGCTTCCTCAGACGACACAAGCCCAGGACATTACCTGGGGGATGCTGAAGAAGACAACTCAGGAGGCTGAGTGAATCCTGCTCCAGACACAGACACCATTCAGTCCAGATAATTTGTTCCTTGCTATGCTCTCTGTTGTACATTGCAACTCACATAGGGCATTGATCCTTTTTATGCTCTCGCTTTGTATGCAACCTGTACCTACTATACTCTATTGGGCTAATCTCTTAGGTCTGCCTTTCTTTCACCGTGTCACCTAGGCAGATACTCCCTTCCCAGCCTCTAAGAACGCAACTGCTTGCCTAGGAGGGATAGATTTACCCCCAGTGGGGTCCCTCATTAATGGCACACATTGGACTAAGGTGCCAGGTAACACTACATATCACTCCACTATCCACACACTGTGTGTAAGTTATAAAAGTTCTAACCCTTACTGTGTAGCTGCCCAAACACAATTATGGCTACATCATGGCAAAGGAAATGCCTTAACAGTCTTAGCTGCAGGTAGCCTCAAAGCGGACAATGCAATCAATGCCAGTTTCCCAAACATTCCTCCCTGTGATAAAGAACAAACCTGGGAAAGTAATGGATTCCACTTTAGCTGGGAGGTGTCATGGGGGGCAGGCCCATAGCCTCCAGTTAGGCAATTATAACATCTTAGACTGGAGTTCTCACAGCCATTTGCAGGGCAATCATACTGATGTCCACATCTATCATGGCATCAATGACAGTTTTGTGGCCATGTTCCATTCCCCTATAGTTTGGACTGATAGGGGAATGGGATATCCCAGACCCCAAGTAGAGTCCCTGCCACCCCAAGACACTTTATGGAGACTGGGACATCTTAGGACCCCCCTTAACACCTGGCATGAGACATCATAATTCCACTCACAATTATACTATGACCTTTTTCCATAATCACACTGATCAGTGCCTGATGTTCACTACCCATCCATATGTTTTCCTTATGGGAACCAATATTTCTGTTACACCCCAAAACTCCAGATTTGTGACTCGGGTGCAGGGACAGGCTTGGTTTGCCTAACTTGTATCAATAATTATAATATGTCTAATTTAAATATTACTAGTGTCATGGTATTGAGGAGAAAATCTAAGGCTTTCCTACCAGTCAATTTAACACGTGATTGGCAAGGTTCCTCTGCCCTCACCACCTTAGAATGTTCCCTGTCCAAAGTCAGACACAAAAGATTCATAGTTACACTTACAGCCTTTATAGTCTCAGCCATAGTCATCCTAGCAACTGCTTGTGTTGCTGTAGCATCTATTACTAAGTCTGTACAAGCAGCTACTTTTGTAGATAATTTGGCCAGAAATGTGTCTAATAAACTTCTTAGAGCATGGTACAGATCAAAAGATTCTTGCACATCTGCAAGCCCTAGAGGCTGCCTTGGAATATGTAAGTGAGCGACAAGATGCACTGGCATTCCCACAGCAATTAAACTGTGACTGGGAGCTTAAGCACATCTATGTCACCTCTCTACCATCAATTCCATCAACCGATACATAGTTGGGATGAGGTGAAACAACACCTCTGGGGAACCTTTCATGACAATTTAACAGCAGATGTAAAGCAACTTAAAACTAAAATTCAAGAATCCCTAAATGCCATAGATCTACATGCCCAACAAACAGCCATATGGAAAGGTGTGCGTGAACATCCCTCCTGGATAGACCCCCACTCCTGGGGGGTCCCTCCTTGATTAGAAAGGAATATTGCTATTTATACTCATGTTTGTCTTATGTTATTTACTAATTCTAGGATGCAAAGCTGGAGTATGAGTTATAACTGCCATGCCTGACAGACATGTTGCTGCACACATCTGTAATCTTCAATCAACAAAACCTGATGCAAAAAACAGAAAAGGGGGAGATGTAGGAGTTCAGTCAGGGTGGTAGGAGAAACTATAAGAGGAAATTATAGAAAGAAGCAAACCTTCTTGGAAGGCTGGGAGGTTTTACAAAAGCTTCGAAAGAAAATTTGGCTGAAGGCAGCTAAATTCTCTTAAGAGCTTAGGTTAGTTAAGCAGCAGATGTAAAGAAACTGATCTAGATAAGTTAGTTTACTTAGGCCTCGGAACCTGGCCTTTAATCATCTGCATGCAGGACTACTCTCTCTGGGGGCCGACCATGTTAATTACCCACAAGTGTATTGATTCAAATCCTTTGTCATTAAATCTGTACTAAATAAATGCCCGCAATGCCAGCCTGTCAGGGCCGTGGCTGCTACAACTCTTTACAGCACGCTGCTCAGTGTCTGTGAGCAGCCTCGTCCCCTAGCCCACTCTTTCACTGGATATCTGTGTCTGAGTGCATTTTTTTCATCTGTCACTCAGTCACGGTCTGTGGGTCGGACCTGGCAATTATTATATTAAGAGATCTAGTTTCCTCTACTTTTATAATTAAATGTAATTTTTTGTTTTAAAAATACTTCTCATTACTCAAGAAATACTACAGAAATGTCCAAGTTAGAAAGTAAATTTTCTGTACTTGTGTCATCTATTGTTTGCAATGATAAAATATTTCAGTGTGACCATATTCTAGACAGTGCTAAAGGATCATTAAGTGGCTATTTTGGAATAAGAATCTGGAATGTCTTGTCCTAAGAAAATACAAATCAGAAAGGAAATGAAGCCAATCAAGAGACCTGATGCTGTCAAAATATAAACACATATAATCAAGGAATGTCCAAAGTTTCTGCTGGACAAACTTAAAAGAAAGGAATATTTGATAGTCTGTTCCAAGATGGCCAAATAGGAACAGCTCCGGTCTGCAGCTCCCAGCGTGATCAATGCAGAAGATGGCTGATTTATGCATTTCCAACTGAGGTGCCTGGTTCATCTCACTGGAACTGGTTGGACAGTGGGTGCAGCCCATGGAGAGTGGGCTGAAGCAGGGCAGGGCATCACCTCACCCAGGAAGCGCAAGGGGTCGGGGGATTTCCCTTTCCTAGCCAAGGGAAGCCGTGACAGACTGTACCTGGAAAAACGACACTGCCACCCAAATACTGCACTTTTCCCATGGTCTTAGCAACTGACAGATCAGGAGATTCTCTCCTGTGCCTGGCTCAGTGGGTTCCACACCCACGGAGCCTTGCTCACTGCTAGTGCAGCTGTCTGAGATCCATCTGCAAGATGGCAGCCTGGCTGGGGGAGGGGCGTCTGCCATTGCTGAGGCTTGAGTGGGTAAACAAAGCAGCTGGGAAACTCAAATTGGGTGGAGCCCACTGCAGCTTAGCAAGGCCTACTGTGTCTGTAGACTCCCCCTCTGTGTGCAGAGCATAGCTGAACAAAAGGCAGCAGAAACTTCTGCAGACTTAAACATCCCTGTCTGACAGCTCTGAAGAGAGCAGTGGTTCTCCAAGCATGGCGTTTGAGCTCTGAGAATGGACAGACTGCCTCCTCAAGTGGGTCCCTGACCCCTGTGTGGCCTGACTGGGAGACACCTCCCAGTAGGGGCTGACAGATACCTCATACAGGTGGGTGCCCCTCTGGGACGAAGCTTCAAGAGGAAAGATCAGGCAGCGATATTTGCTGTTCTGCATTATTTGCTGTTCTGCAGCCTCTTCTGGTAATACCCAGGCAAACAGGGTCTGGAGTGGACCTCCAGGAAACTCCAACAGACCTGCAGCTGAGGGACCTGACTGTTAGAAGGAAAACTAACAAACAGAAAGGAATAGCATCAACATCAACAAAAAGGACATCTACACCAAAACCCCATCTGTAGATCACCAACATCAAAGACCAAAGGTAGATAAAACCACAAAGGTGGGGAGAAACCAGAGCAGAAAAGCTGAAAATTCTAAAAACCAGGGCGCCTCTTCACCCCCAAAGGATCACAGCTCCTCACCAGCAATGGAACAAACCTGGTTGGAGAATGTCTTTGATGAGCTGACAGAAGTAGGCTTCAGAAGGTTGGTAATAACAAACTTCTCCAAGCTAAAGGAGCATGTTCTAACCCATCACAAGCTAAAAACCTTGAAAAAGGGTTAGATGAATGGCTAACTAGAATAAACAGTGAAGAGAAGACCTTAAATGACCTGATGGAGCTGCAAACCATGGCATGACAACTTCATGACGCATGCACAAGCTTCAATAGTCGATTCGATCAAGTGGAAGAAAGAGTATCAGTGATTAAAGATAAAATTAATGAAATAACGCAAGAAGACAAGTTTAGAGAAAAAAAAGTAAAAATAAATGAACAAAGCCTTCAAGAAATATGGGACTAAGTGAAAAGACCAAATCTACGTTTGACTGGTGTACCTGCAAGTGATGGGGAGATTGGAACCAAGTTGGAAAACAATCTTCAGGATATTATCCAGGAGAACTTCCCCAACCTAGCAAGGCAGGCCAACATTTAAATTCAGGAAATACAAAGAACACCACAAAGATACTCCACGAGAAGAGCAACCCCAAGACACATGATTGTCAGATTCACCAAGGTTGAAACGAAGGAAAAAATGTTAAGGGCAGCCAGAGAGAAAGGTCGGGTTACTCACAAAGGGAAGCCCATCAGACTAACAGTGGATCTCTTGGCAGAAACCCTACAAGCCAGAAGAGTGTGGGAGCCAATATTCAACATTATTAAAGAAAAGAATTTTCAACCCAGAATTTCATATCCAGCCAAACTAAGCTTCATAAGTGAAGGAGAAATAAAATCCTTTACAGACAAGCAAATGCTGAGAGATTTTGTCACCACCAGGCCTGCCTTCCAAGAGCTCCTGAAGGAAGCACTAAACATGGAAAGGAACAACCAGTACTAGCCACTACAAAAACATGCTGAATTGTAAAGACCACTGATACTATGAAGAAACTGCATCAATTAACAGGCAAAATAACCAGTCAACATCATAATGACAGGATCAAATTCACACATAACAATATTAACCTTAAATGTAAATTGGCTAAATGCCCCAATTAAAAGACACAGACTGGTAAACTGGATAAAGAGTCAAGACCCATTGGTGTGCTGTATTCAGGAGACCCATCTCATGTGCAGAGACACAATAGGCTCAAAATAAAGGGATGGAGGAAGATCTACCAAGTAAATGGAAAGCAAAAAAAAAAAAAAAAAAAAAAAAAGCAGGGGTTGCAATCCTAGTCTCTGATAAAACAGACTTTAAACCAACAAAGATCAATGGCAAAGAGATTAATTCCACAAGAAGAGCTAGCTATCCTAAATATATATGCACCCAATACAGGAGCAACCAGATTCGTAAAACAAGTCCTTAGAGGCCTACAAAGAGACTCAGACTCCCACACAATAATAATGGGAGACTCTAACACCCCACTGTCAATATCAGACAGATCAACAAGACAGAAGGTTAATAAAGACATCCAGGACTTGAACTCAGCTCAGCACCAAGCGGACCTAATAGACATCTACAGAACTCTCCACCCCAAATCAACAGAGTATACATTCTTCTTAGCACCGCATCACACTTATTCTAAAATTGACCCCATAATTGGAAGTAAAGCACTCCTCAGCAAATGTAAAAGAACAGAAATCACAACAAACTGTCTCTCAGACAACAATGCAATCAAATTAGAACCCAGGATGAAGAAACTCACTCAAAACCGCACAACCACATGGAAACTGAACAACCTGCTCCTGAATGACTACTGGATAAATAATGAAATAAAGGCAGAAATAAAGATGTTCTTTGAAACCAATGAGAACAAAGAGACAATGTACCAGAATCTCTGGGACACATTTAAAGCCATGTGTAGAGGGAAATTTATAGCACTAAATGCCCAAAAGAGAAAGCAGGAAATATCTAAAATCGACACCCTCACATCACAATTAAAAGAACTAGACAAGCAAGAGCAAACAAATTCAAAAGGTAGCAGAAGGCAAGAAATAACTAAGATCAGAGCAGAACTGAAGGAGATAGAGACACAAATACCCTTCAAAAAATCAATGAATCCAGGAACTGGTTTTTTGAAAAGATAAACAAAATTGATAGACCGCTAGCAAGACTAATAAAGAAGAAAAGAGAGAAGAATCAAATAGATGCAATAAAAAAAGATAAAGGGGATATCACCATCAATCCCACAGAAATACAAACTACCATCAGAGAACACTGTAAACACCTCTATGCAAATAAACTAGAAAATATAGAAGAAATGGATAAATTCCTGGACGCATACACCCTCCCAAGACTAAACCAGGAAGAAGTTGAATCTCTGAATAGACCAATAACAGGCTCTGAAACTGAGGCAAGAAATAATAGCCTACTGACCAAAAAAATTCCAGGACCACAAGGATTCACAGTTGAATTGTAACAGAGGTACAAAAAGGAGCTGGTACAATTCCTTCTGAAACTATTCCAATCAATAGAAAAAGAGGGAATCCTCCCTAACTCATTTATGAGGCCAGCATCATCCTGATACCAAAGCCTGGCAGAGACACAACCAAAAAAAGAGAATTTTAGACCAATATCCCTGATGAACATTGATGCGAAAATTCTCAATAAAATACTGGCAAACCGAATCCAGCAGCACATCAAAAGCTTATCCACCATGATGAAGTCAGCTTTATCCCTGGGATGCAAGACTGGTTCAACATACGCAAATCAGTAACGTAATCCATTACTTAAACAGAACTAATGACAAAAACCACATGATTATCTCAATAGATGCAGAAAAGGCCCTCAACAAAATTCAACAGCCCTTCATGCTAAAAACTGTCAATAAACTAGATATTGATGGAATGTATCTCAAAATAATAAGAGCTATATATGACAGACCCACAGCCAATATCATTCTGAATGGGCAAAAACTGGAAGCATTCCCTCTGAAAACTGGCACAAGACAAGGATGCCCTCTCTCACCACTCCTATTCATAGTGTTGGAAGTTCTGGCCAGGGCAATCAGGCAGGAGAAAGAAATAAAGGGTATTCAATTAGGAAAAGAGGAAGTCAAATTGTCCCTGTTTGTAGATGACATGATTGTATATTTAGAAAACCCCATTGTCTCAGACCAAAATCTCCTTAAGCTGATAAGCAACATCAGCAAAGTCTCAGGAGACAAAATCAATGTGCAAAAATTACAAGCATTCCTGTACACCAATAACAGACAAACAGGGAGCCAAATCATGAGTGAACTCCTATTCACAATTGCTACAAGAGAATAAAATACCTGGGAATCCAACTTACAAGGGATGTGAAAGACTTCTTCAAGGAGAACTACAAACCACTGCTCAACAAAAGAGGACACAAACAAATGGAAGAATATTCCATGCTCATGGATAGGAAGAATCAATATCATGAAAATGGCCATACTGCCCAAGGTAAATTATAGATTCGACGCCATCCCCATCAAGCTACCAATGATTTTCTTCACAGCATTGGAAAAAACTACTTTAAAGTTCATATGGAACCAAAAAAGACCCGCATTGCCAAGACAATCCTAAGCAAAAAGAACAAAGCTGGAGACATCATGTTACCTGACTTCAAACTATACTACAAGGCTACAGTAACCAAAACAGCATGGTACTGGTACCAAAACAGATTTATAGACCAAAGGAACAGAACAGAGCCCTCAAAAATAACACCACACATCTACAACCATCTGATCTTTGACAAACCTGACAAAAACAAGAAATGGGGAAAGGATTCCCTATTTAATAAGTGGTGCTGGGAAAACTGGCTAGCCATATGTAGAAAGCTGAAACTGGATCCCTTCCTTACACCTTATACAAAAATTAATTCAAGATGGATTAAAGACTTAAATGTTAGACCTAAAACCATAAAAACTCTGGAAGAAAACCTAGGCAATACCATTCAGGACATAGGCATGGGCAAGGACTTCATGAATAAAACACCAAAAGCAATGGCAACAAAAGCCAAAATAGACAAATAAGATCTAATAAAACTAAAGAGCTTCTGCATGGCAAAAGAAACTACCATCAGAGTGAACAGGCAACCTATGAAATGGGAGAAAATTTCTGCAATCTACCCGTCTGACAAAGGGCTAATATCCAGAATCTACAAAGAACTTAAACAAATTTACAAGAAAAAAACAAACAACTCCATCAAAAGGTAGGCAAAGGATATGAACGCACAATTCTCAGAAGACGTTTATGGAGCCAACAAACATATGAAAAAAAGCTCATCATCACTGGTCATCAGAGAAATGAAAATCAAAACCACAATGAGATACCATCTCACGCCAGTTAGAATGGCTATCATTAAAAAGTCAGGAAACAACAGACGCTGAAGAGCATGTGGAGAAATAAAATGCTTTTACACTGTTGGTGGGAGTGTAAATTAGTTCAACCATTGTGGAAGACAGTGTGGTGATTCCTCAAGGATCTAGAACTAGAAATACCATTTGACCCAGCAATTCCATTACTTGTTATATACCCAAAGGATTATAAATCATGCTACTATAAAGACACATGCACATGTATGTTTATTGTGGCACTCTTCACAATAGTAAAGACTTGGAACCAACCCAAATGTCCATCACTGATAGCCTGGTTTAAGAAAATGTGGCACATATACACCATGGAATACTATGCAGTCATAAAAAATGATGAGATAATGTCCTTTGCAGTGACATGGATGAAGCTGGAAACCATCATTCTCAGCAAACTATCACAAGGACAGAAAACCAAACACCACATGTTCTCACTCATATGTGTGAACTGAACAATGAGAATACTTGGACACAGGGCGGGGAACATCATACACTGGGGCCTGTCTGGGGGTGGGGGCCTGGGGGAAGGGACAGCATTAGGAGAAATACCTAATGTAAATGACGAGTTGATGGGTGCAGCAAACCAACATGGCACATGTATACATATGTAACAAACCTGCATGTTGTGCACAAGTACCCTAGAACTTAAATTGTATTAAATAAATAATAAAAAAGAAAGGAATATTTATTGAATAAACACAAAAAGAACAATGAATTCTCAAGAAAAAAAAAACAAAAAACAGTTCAGAGATTTCTAATAAAAGATAACTGAAGATTAACTAATGGCACACATAGCAGTCAGCCAAGGTTCAGAACTGACTGTTTCCATCCTGAAATCAAGGAATGGAGAATGAAAAAACTAGAAGCTGCTCTGCAAAATATTGCCATCTAGGTCAGAAGCCACCTAACTCTTCATGTACTCTGGGGCAAACAGTGCAGTGAGGATCAGCAGTGGTGAGTTATCGAGAGAACATTTTTAAAAGTTTATTACAGAGCATGCATTGTTCCCTTGGCAGCAGTGAATAACTTATCTCTAGGACTAAGTGGAAGGGAAATAACTGAAAGGGATATAAAGGTGAGAAGTGAAACCATCTACAGCAGTGGTTTTCAAACTTTTGCTCACGACATATTTATGCTCTCAAAAATTACTGAGACCCCAGAGAGCTTGTTCAAATCCATTATTGCTATTGATATTTACCAATAACAAAACCAAGACAAAGTTTAAATATTACTTAATTTAAAATAACAAGAGTATATCTAGGGAATGTTGCCATAAATGATATATTTTTATGAAAAATAACTATTGGGTGACCTGTCTCCCTAGGTCTCATGCTCTGTGACATCTTGCAGTATATACCAGGAATGCAAGGTTCTGATTGTTCTTCACCCAGGTTTTCTCATGGTAGCAAAGGCTGCAGGAAGCCTTGAGAGATAAGGCAATGTGTCCTTCCAAGAAAAATAGCAGGCTTGCTTACTGCCTGCTATAAATGGCAGGTTCTTCAAACTCAGTCTTCCTCTCCTATCATGCAACCAACTGTGTGTGTTGGCCTAGTTCCGTTCTGTGCCTCCCTTGAGGAACTGGTACTGATTGGGGGAAACAGATGTAAACACGTGGACATGCTGGCTACAGGTTTTGTGGTAACAGTCTTTCAACTCTGACACAGGAGTCTTATGTCTTTTGTCAGCCTTCATTGAACTGTGGTAAGCTAATTTGTTAACTTGCAAATAGTGTAAAACCTTACACTCTTTACAGCTCTTGACAATAACTATATTTTCAACAACAAAATGATATAATGAGAAAAGCAGCATTAACATTTTCTTGCAAATCTCCAATGTCTAGCTTAGTAGTAGAGAGCTGAGTTCTCGCATCTGATACATTCTATTCTTGCAATATGTTGTTTTGGTTGAAATATGTGACAAAAATCTGGTCTCACACAGACATATAGTTGGAAAAGAGACAAACTTGTGAACTCACTAAAAGGATTTCAGGATCTGAGTGGTCCTTAGACCACACTTAGAGAATTGTTGATCTATAGCCACACAGCTTAATGTCTACATTAAGATGGTTTTGTTATTGGACAGTCTGTGTTAACATGACTTAACTATGGCACAAAATTCTTGCTCTGGAAGATGAAGTTGTAAGTAACTTTAGCATTTGTTTTGTTACTGTTATTATTGTTTCTGTTATTTGTTATTTATTATTTGTTACAAGAGTGTTCTGGAAATCTGCTTATCCAAATATTCAACTGCTAAACTTACCCCCATCAGGGTAACAGATCATTCATTGGTATCATCAAAGGCTGTTTATTCTTCAAGACCAACTTCAAAACCTTTGCTTTGCTGGGCCCACTAATCCTAAACTATTATTTCATAAACTTTGCTGAATCTCAATCAACCCGCATACCATATTGAAAGACCCACCATAAACTAGACTCTCCAACTCAAACAAATAGCTTCTTTCACCTTCTCTTCCTAAGTCACTACTACAGCACTGTCGATATTAGTGACCTATCATAGAGCAATAAGAAATAAACTTGGTTTTCCTTTATAAATGGGTTGGTCTGGTAGATGGCAATGGACAATCTGTTTTATATTTAGATCATTCTCTTTTCAATAAATAGGTCTCTGTCTTGAAAAACTAAGGATTACATGTGCTTGATATGATCTTTTCTGCACATGTTAGCAACAAAATGTTCTGGGCCTTTCATGAAAAGGAGAAATTTTGGTATTCAATCTATCATTAAATTCCATAAAATTAGGGTTGCCATATTAAGCAAATAAAAATACAGAACAGCCAGTTAAATTTAAATTTCAAGGAAACAATAAGTAATTTCAAATTATAAGTGTGTCCCAAATATTGCATGGGGTCCTGTGTCTTATCAAGCAACCCTACATAAAACCTGTGCTGCAGGACTTGTGGCTCCATGTTAACATCAAAGATTTTTCCATTTGCTTATTATTCTTAATCTGAAAGATGGCAATCACTTTACAAAACTGAATACAGTGGTTACTTTAGCTTCCTTAGTTTGATAGGCAAATTATAGATGAAGTGGAAAAAAAAGCAAAATTCCAAATAGATTTAAAAATTCTGACTCTATCAAAGAATTCTAAAACTTCTGATATTTTTAATTCTCTAGCACCATATTGTAAGGCTTCAGCTATAACTGCAGGCTAAAAGCTATCTGTCATGGTAAAATGACAGCTGGAATCAAACTATATATAGAAAGAGACATGGAATTGCAGACACTACACACAGTATGTAAGAAAACAGCTGTGAGATTGGGGTTGAGAGTTGGTGCCAAAGATGAGATTATTATAGTTATAATAAAAAAGTCAGAGTTTTTCATATCTTATAGGCCCATGTATTGACATGATATGAATCCTTAGTCTGGATTTCAGGGCATAAATGTGTTACAGCTAATGTTCAACCCTATGCTAATATACAATATTCACTGAGACTACCTAATGTTCAAGGCAAGTGAAGAACAAGAACAATCTTCAAACTGCTCTTTTATAGTACTATAATTCTGTATATCATAATTTTTTGAGAATTATCTTTTATGTAGTCTAGTGACAGAGAAAAATACAGTTATGTGTCGCTTAAGGATGGGGATACGTTCTGAGAAACGTGTTGTTAGGTGGTTTTGTTGTGTGATCATAGAGTATACTTACACAAACATAGATGGTATAGCCTACTACACATGTAGGCTGTGTATAGTATAGACTGTTGCTCCTTGTGGCTTCGGCATGTTACTGTACTGAATAGTGTTCAGTACAGTATTCAGTTCTTGTAGGCGTGTTATTATAGGCATGTTACTATACTGAATACTGTAGGAAATTGTAACATGATGGTAAGTACTTGTGTATCCAAACATATAGAAACATAGAAAAGGAACAGTAAAAATACGGTATAAAAGATAAAAAATGGTACACCCATACAGGGCACTTACTGTTAATGGACATTGCAGGACTAGAAGTTGCTCTTGGTGAGTCAGTGGGTGAGTGCTGAGTGAATGTGAAGGATTGGGATATAACCCTATATAACTATAGACTTTATAAATGCTGAACTCTTAGGCTACACTAAATTTAATTTTAAATTTTCTCTTTCTTCAATAATAGGTTAATCTTAGCTTACTATAATTTTTTAATCTGAAAACTTAAAAATTTTTAACTTTCTGACTCTTTTGTAATAACACTTAGCTTAAAACACACATTGTACAGCTGTACAAAAATAATTTCTTTCTTACATCTTTATCCCATAAACTTTTTTATTAAATATTTTCCCTTTTAAACTATTTTGTTAAAAACTAAGACACAAGCACACACGTTAACCTAAGCTGAAGGACCTGCCTGGGGGTGTTTTACAGTTAACTTTTTAAAAAAATAAGTAGGAGTATACTCTAAAATAACAATAAAGAGTATAGTATAATAAATACATAAAACAATAACATAGTTGTTTATTATTATTATCAAGCATTAGGTACCATACGTAATTGTATGTGCAGGACCTTTATACAACTAGTAGTGCAGCAGGTTTGTTTACACCAGCCTCACTACAAACATGAGAGTAGTTCATTGCACTTTGATGTTACAACTGCTACAATGTCACTAGGTGATAGGAATTTTTCAGCTCCATTATAATCTTATGTATATCATTGTATATGAGGTCTGTCATTGACCAAAGCATCATTATACAGCACATGACTATATGCCAAACTGAAAAGCAGAAGACCTACCTGGATTTGAGTCTCAGTTTTACAACAAATTAGCTCTGTAACCTTGAGCAGTTTGGTTTCTGTATTAGTTTGCTAGGGATGCCATAATAAAGTACCGCAGGCTGGGTGGTTTAACCAACAGAAATTTTTTTCTCACAGTTCTGGAGGCTGGAAGTCTGAAATGATGGTGTCTCCAAGTACAGTCACATTTTGAGGTACTGCAGGTTATGACTTCAACATATAAACTTTTTTCAGGGGAATACAATTCAGCCCATAAGAGTTCCTCTTTCTGAATCTTGGTTTCCTTTCTCATAAAATAGGGATATTGGAATTGATCATTTCTAAAGTGTCTTCTCAATGATTTATATATAATAAATCACAGATTACCTGTTATGTTTTATGGACTACAAAATTAAAAGTAGCAGTATAAGACTCAAGAAAACTAATATTCATCAACAGAAATGTCTGAAATCATGATGCCATTATAATCTTAATGAAGACCACAGATGGTAAATGTTCATTTGAATTTCAAATAGTTGCAGCTTTTCAAATATAGTGAACCGATTCAGCAAAATTTGCATAGTAGGAAAAATGTACATAATTGTTTTTCACTTATTCCAACAGGACTCAGCAGGACACTGCAAATATCTATTGAAACGTCCACTGACTGATGATAAAAACAAAGGCTTTTTTTATTGAGGCTACAAAGAAGAAAATGAGGTAATTCTATAATACCATAGTCTGTGGTTTGAGGATATAGGAAAACATTTGTGTATTTGTACCTCTTATTTTGTTTAGTTTTTTTCTGTAATGATTTTAGAGCTAAGTGTATAGCATGGTATATGTTTTCTCAAAGTTTAGCTTTCTTTATTAATGACCCAGAAGAGGAGAAATCTTTGTCTCCATAGTCACCTGGAGAAATTCAGGAGGAAAGCCACTTATAACCACTCCGTGGTAGATTCAGAGGCTTCCATAAACTCTACAGTTGCAGTTTGCTCAACACCTTCAATGAGAAGTGATCTAGGCCAGTGGATCATAAAACCAGCCAAATAGAATTATCTGAGGAGTACATTAAAAATAAGATTATCCAAGGCTCATCAAACCATATTGATTCAGTATGTCCAGGATAGAGTCCAAGAGTCAAACTTTTTGACAAGAACATCACCCCATCTCCCTACTCCTACCACAAAGGATTTTGATGTAGCTGACCCACCTGTGTTTGGCAATTGCTGATAGAACCCTGGATCTCATTTAGCCATGAGAATTCGGGATCTACCTGCAAAAGCCCATCACTCCCTGGATCATTGGGATAGTTTGGTTTCAATCTCTCTCACCAGAGATACTCTGTATTCTACAAGATTAAGAATGATGTGTAAGAAGTCAAGAACATATTATGAAGGTATAGAGATATATTGGAGATACTCTAATATATTCAGAAAGTCTTATATTCTAAAAATCAAGGATCATAGATTTCCAGTGAAGTGACCCAAACAGTGTATGAACTTAAAAAGAGGTACGACTTTACTCTTTCCTGGCCTTTTCCTGGGGTGCACATTCTCCCAGTTTGTACCAGGCATTTGCAAGGAAAAATTATGGAAGATTTTGAAATTTAGTGGCAATACTGTCGATTTCGGCAATCCAGGTTATCTCTGCCTTTGCCTTTGACTATATTATTTTACAACACTGTAGTGATAGAAGTTAATTTTAGAAAACTGGGAGTAATGAGAATAATTTCTGTCCATAGAAATGTAAATTGCATCCAGTAGAATGTCATTGATTATTGCCCTGTAGATATTGATCAGTTTTGCCAGTTTTACAGCTGATATGGTTTGGTTGTACCCTATTCAAATCTCATCTTGAATTGCAACTCCCACAATTTCCATGTGTTGTGGGAGGAACCAGGTGGGAGGTAATTGAATCATGGGGCTAGGTCTTTCTCACGCTGTTCTCTTGACAGTGAATAAGTCTCATGAGATCTGATGGCTTTAAAGACGGGACTCTCCCTGCACAACCCTCTCTTTTCCTGCTGTCATCCACATAAGATATGGCTTGCTCATCCTGGCCTTCCACCATGATTGTGAGGCCTCCCCAGTCATGTGGAACTGTAAGTCCATTAAGCCTCTTTCTCTTGTAAATTGCCCAGTCTTGGATATGTCTTTATCACCAGCATGAAAACAGACCAATACAGTAAGTTGGTACTGGGAGTGGGGTGCTGCTGAAAAGATACCAGAAAATGAGGAAGCAACTTTGGAACTGGGTAACAGGCAGAGGTTGGAACAGTTTGGAGGGCTCAGAAGAAGACAGGAAAATGTGAGAAAGTTTGAAACTCCCTAGAGACTTTTTGAATGGCTTTGACCAAAATGCTGATAATGACATGGACAATGAAATCCAGGCTGAGTTGGTCTTAGATGGAGATGAGGAACTTGTCAGGAACTGGAGCAAAGGTGACTCTTGTTACGTTTTAGCAAAGAGACTGGCGGCATTTTGCCCCTGCCCTAGAGATTTGTGGAACTTTGAACTTGAGAGAGATCATTTAGGCTCTCTGGCAGAAGAAATTTCTAAGCATCAAAGCATTCAAGAGGTGACTTGAGTGCTGTTAAAGGCATTCAGTTTTATAAGAGCAGCAGAGCATAAAAGTTTGGAAAAATTGCAGCCTGACAATGTGATAGAAAAGAAAATCTCATTTTCTGAGGAGAAATTCAAGCCAGCTGCAGAAATTTGCATAAGTAATGAGGATCCAAATGTTAATTCCCAAGACAACGGGGAAAATGTCTCCAGAGCATGCCAGAGGTCTTCACACCAGCCCCTTCCATCACAGGCCTGGAGGCCTAGGAGGAAAGAGTGGTTTCGTAGGCCGGGCCCAGGGTCCCCATGCTGCATGTAGCCTAGGGATTTGGTGCCCTGAATCCCAGCTGCTCTAGCAGTTGCTGAAAGGGGCCAACATAAAGCTTGGGCTGTAGCTTTAGAGGGTGCAAGCCCCAAGCCTTGGCAGCTTCCATGTGGTTTTGAGCCTGCGAGTGCACAGAAGTCAAGAATTGGGGTTTGGGAACCTCCACCTAGATTTCAGAGGATGTATCGAAACACATGGATGCTTAGGCAGAAGTTTGCTGCAGGGGCAGGGCCCTCATGGAGAACCTCTGCTAGGGCAGTGCAGAAGGGAAATGTGGGGTGGGAGCCCCCACACAGAGTCCCCACTGGGGTGCTGCCTAGTGGGGCTGTGAGAAGAGGGTCACTGTCCTCCACACCCCAGAATGGTAGATCCACTGACAGCTTGCACTGTGCACCTGGAAAAGCTGCAGACACTCAAAGCCAGCCCATGAAAGCAGCCGGGAGGGAGGCTGTACCCTGCAAGGCAACAGGGGTGGAACTGCTCATGACCATGGGAACCTATCACTTGCATCAGTGTGACCTGGATGTGAGACATGGAGTCAAAGTAGATCATTTTGGAGCTTTAAGATTTGACTGCCCCACAGGATTACAGTTTTGTATTAGGCCTGTAGCCCCTTTGTTTTGGCCAACTTCTTCCATTTGGAACAGCTGTATTTACCCAATGCCTGTACCCCCATTGTATCTAGGAAGTAACTAACTTGCTTTTTATTTTACAGGCTCATATGCAGAAGGGACTTGCCTTGTCTCAGATGAGACTTTGGACCGCAGACTTTTGAGTTAATGCTGAAATGAATTAAGACTTTGAGAGACTGTTGGGAAGGCATGACTGGTTTTGAATGTGAGGACATGAGATTTGGGAGGGGCCAGGGGAGGAATTATATTGTTTGGCTCTGTCCCCACCCAAATTTCATCTTAAATTGGAACTCCCACAATTCCCATGTGTCATGGGAGGAACCCAGTGAGAGGTAATTGAATCATAGGAGTGGGTCTTTCCTGTGCTGTTCTTGTGATAGTGAATAAGTCTCACAAGATCTGATGGCTTTAAAAACAGGAGTCTCCCTGAACACGCTCTCTCTGTTTGCCTGCTGTCATCCACATAAGATGTGACTTGCTTTTCCTGGGCTTCTGCCATGATTGTGAGCCCTCCCCAGTCATGTGGAATTGTAAGTCCATTAAACCTTTTTTTGTAAATTGCCCAGTCTTGGGTATGTCTTTATCTCAGTGTGAAAACAGACTAATATGATAGCCATTTATAAAAATCATTTCAGCATTTCTTATCTCACAATAACTGTTTGGTATTTTGCTTTCACTTGAGTGGTTTATAACATGCTTTCTTGCCAATTAATGAGTTAAATAGAAGGCTTGATACATGCCCACTTGTATGATACATTTTAAAATTTATCCTTTTACCTGTTAATTTATTAAACATTTATTGGGACCATATTAGATACCCCAAGCATCCTAATATACTGATATTCATGCTTTTGTGTCATCCCCTCTCCTTGAGTATGGGCTGGATTTATTGGTTTGTAGGCAAGAAATAGAATAGCATAGAAGAGAAGGAATGCCACTTCCAATATTAGATTATATAAAATTATAAATTCTTTGTTGAACACCATTTCTTGTTCTCTTGCTAGCTTGCTTTGGAGGAAGCCAGCTGCCATAGGAGCTGCTCTATAGAGAGCCCCATGTGGCAAGGAACTGATGTCTCCAACTAACAGCCACATGAATGAGTTTGCAAGTGGATTTTCCCAGGTCAAGCCTTGAGATGACTATAGCTTCAGACAATCCCTTAAAACTTGTGAGAGACCTGGAACCAAAGGCACCTGGATTCCTCACCCATAGTAACTGTGAGATAATACAGTTTCTTTAAACCATTAAACTTTAAGGTATCTAGTTATGCAAAAATTGATAATAACTATTATTTTTCTTCTTGGAAATCCATTAATATATTCTGTCATAGGTGTTTCTCCAGTACCCACTTAGAATCAGTGTGGAGATCATGCACTCAATATTGTTGACCTTCAGCCCAATTGTCCAGAAATTGGTTTTAGAGTATCTGTGCCAAGGTGACCTGTGCTAGAAACTAAGCAGGCAAAATAGCACAACAATTCAGAAAGAAAAAACATCCTTCCAGAGAGTCTCCAAAAGATCTAATGTGACAACACAACTTTTACAAGCAGTACAGAAAATGACCAGCAAAAGGAAAACATTAGTTTGTGATGTGATGTTACATAAATCATGGAATAACTTTTTAATGCAACCCAAGATTTGTTGCATATAACCCAGCTTCTGTTTGAATCCTGTGGTTTCTTCTCACATGTTATCGTGCACTAGTTCTGTTTTTTGTTTCTAGTTTTTCTTTGCACTCAGCAATTCCATACCCATTCTCTCTTAAGGGGTGGCATGGAAAAGCTCTATGGCATTGGTCTGTGTAATGATTTTTTGGACATAAACCTAAAAGCCTAGGCGACAAAAGCAAAAATAGACAAATGGGATCACATCAAACAAAAAAGCTTCTGCACAGCCAAGGAAACAATTAACATAGTGGAGAAAAAACAAAATGAGAGAAAATATTTGCAAACCATATATCTGCTAAGGGGTAAATATCCAAGATATACAGGGAACTCAAACAATTCAATAGTAAGAAAACAAATAACCCTATTTTTAAAAATGGGCAAAGGATCTGAATGGACATTTCTCAAAAGAAGACATACAAATGGACAACAGGTATATAAAAAATGCTCAAAATCACTAATCATCAGAGAAATGTAAATTAAAACAACTCACATCTATTAGGATGACTAGTAACAAAAAGCCAAAAAATAAGTGTTGGAGAGGATGTAGAGAAAAGGGAACCCTTGCACACCAAACACTGTTGGTGAGAGTGTGAGTTAGTATAGCCGTTAAAAAAATCAATATGAAGGTTCTTCAAAAAAGTATAAATAGAGCTACCATATGATCTAGCAACAATATGATCCAGAAATCCCACTATGGGGTATATCTAAAGGAAATGAAATCAGGATGTTAAAGAGATATGTGCACTCCCATGTCCATTGCAGCATTATTCACAATAGCCAAGATATTCGATCAACCTAAATGTCCATCAATAAATGAAGGAAGAAAACGTATTCAAACTTTAAAAGGGGGGAAGCCTTGTTATTTACATCAACATGGATGAACCTGGAGGACATTATGTTAAGTGAAATAAGTCAGCACAGAAAGACGAATACCATATCATTTCATTCACGTACATGGAATCTAAAACAAGTTGATCTCATTGAAGAGTAGAATGGTGGTTACCAGGGAATGGGAGCAGCTGGGGAGATATTAGTCAAAGGATACAAAATTCAAAATTCAATTTGATAGGAGAAATAATTTAAAGAGACCTATTTTAAAACATGGTGATTAGAGTTAATAACAATGTATTATATTCTTCAAAATTGCTAAGAGTAAATTTAAGTGTTTTTATTTAAAAAAAGTTTTTTAGAGACAAGTCTTGTTCTGTCTTCCAGGCTGGAGTGCATTGGTGCGATCTTGGCTTAGTGAAGCCTTGACCTTCTGGGCTCAGGCCATCCTCCCACCTCAGGTCCTCAAGTAGCTGGAACTACTACTAGACATGCACCACCCGCCCAGCTAATTTTATATTTTTTTGTAGAGATGGGGTTTTGCCATTTTGCCTAGGCTGGTCTTGAACTCCTAAGCAATTCTCAGCCTCCCAAAGTGCTGGGATTACAGGCGTGAGCCACCACACCCAGCCAAGTGTTCTTACCCCAAAAAAGTATCTTGATAATACATATGTTAATTAGCTCAATTTAGCCATTCCACAATGTATACATATTTCAAAAAATATGCTGTATATGACAAATATATACAATTTTTATTTGTCAATTAAAAACCAACCAAACAAAAAAAGAAGTTGCATGGATCAGAGTGAGAAGCAACAGTGTATAAGTACACAGATTTTGGAACTGGAAATGCCTAGGTTTGAACTCTGGCTGTCACTAACTATAGGGATTTGGGTATGTCTGAATCTTTTAATAGCCATGTTAATGTTTATCTTTCAGAGTTGCTGTGAGTATTTGAGCCTAAAGTTTGAAGTAATGCATTAAAAGATTCAGCACACAACAGGTGCTGGATAAGTAATGGTCATCATTATTATTATTCTCACTCTCATTTTATTTTTCTTAAGACTGGTTTTATGGGCTGGGCGCGGTGGCTCATGACTGTAATCCCAGCACTTTGGGAAGCTGACGCAGGCAGATCACGAGGTCAGGAGATCGAGACCATCCTGGCTAACACAGTGAAACCCCGTCTCTACTAAAAATACAAAAACAAAATTAGCCAAGCGTGGTGGCGGGCGCCTGTAGGCCCAGCCACTCAGGAGGCTGAGGCAGGAGAATGGCATGAACCTGAGAGGCAGAGCTTGCAGTGAGCTGAGATCACGCCACTGCACTCCAGCCTGGGCAACAGAGCGAGACTCCATCTCAAAAAAAAAAAAAAAAAAAAAGTGGTTTTGTGGCATCCTCCAATATATTTTATTAAAAATCTCTTTGTCAAACTTTATTTAATAGCAGAAGACAATTCCAGATTTCACCCACTTGCCTATCCCAAAATCTAGAAAATCGTATTTCACTTTAAAGGTACATATCGGTAAAAAGTACACACCAACATGAACATATTGGTTCTACAGTGCTTACTGAATGAAGAAGAAAGGTTTTGTTCATTTGTTGGCATCTGCCAAGTAGAGCATCGGCTAAAAGCATAGGAAATTTACCAAAAGGCGACTTATAGTGTGTCCCCTACCTGAGAATAAAAATAAAATATAAAATAATTGACAACCTAAAACATTTAAAAATCTTTAAATTTAACAATATATATTTGGTAGCCTTCTTAGTTGGGAAAAACTAGAAAACCAAAGAGCAAGAGTAAAAGAGAAAATTCATCTTAATGGTGAATTTGCTGGTAGTTTTAAATTTTTGTATTATATGCATATACTGCTTATTTAAAATGTTTTCAAGTAAAATACATCCACTCTGAATTATATTAGTGAACTAAATTTATATCAATATTGCCCAATTTATTGCCCCTTTCAGTTTTATTATTCCCAACATTTCTTTTTTCTCTTTTAGCAGAAGAGCACACTGACTCAATTCTAAACATTTCCTTTCAAAAGTAGTGCTGAGTATCAGTCTTTCAATCCAGAAAAGTGGCTATCCTTTCAGTTTTGCCTCCAATTTGATTAAGCATTTTACCCAGCTTTGATCATCTGAGGTTAGGAAAGAATTCACCTCCCTTCTGGATCTCTCCCCAGAGAGAAAAAACAAAGAAACTTCCTACTGGCTTTTAAGCCAACTATTTCTTATTAGCCACAGCTTTAGGCAGTTTATCCTGGGCCTGCACCCAGGACACATCTGGACACAGCAAGCTGAAACTCTCATTCTTCTCTCTTCACCTCTGAGAGTGGGAGATTGCTGGAGTGTGAACTGCCCTGATATTTTGTCCTTGTTCTTGGAACATATTAAGATATTGCCTCCTCGTTTTAGAGTCAGAATAAGACTAGGAGGGGAAAAAACAAAATTTACAATAAAAAGGCCATTTTAATTGTCCTTAACCCCAAGTAGTAGCAGTAGTTATAGTAATGGCCTCTGGATTCTCATTGCTACTGGATAGTTAGTGGAAAATTTAAGTCCTTCAAAACTTTGAAACCAGTATATACAAGATTCAGTGAAAACAAAGCAAAACAAAATCTTCAATTTATTCAAAGCCAAATGACTCCTACTTAGCCAGGACAAACCAAAGGTTTTCAATGTTTGGTAAAAAAGAATAAAATGAAGTCCTATCACTGTAACAGGTACAGTATTTGTACTGTAGATCTTTGTGGATCTAAGAAAATCTGCATCTGACCTCTGTGTAGAGCTGAACATTAGAGGGAGTTAAGCGAAAGGGAAGGTATGAGGGTCTGTCAAACTCTCCACCCCTCACTTCTGTGCAAGGAACAGTAAGGTCTTTGCCTTGACCCTGGGAAGGCACACCCATCTTCACACCCCATTAGAGACCTCATTCTTTGTTTCTCCTCTGTTTCCTGCCCCACCTGCATATTTTGCATGGCTTAATTCTTGACCTTGCATTTTAAACTCATTAACCTCAAGGACTAAGTTCTATTTTTGATATGACCTCTCTTAATAGGTATGTTTTTTTTACTGCTCTGCTAGCTGGATTTCTGCTTTTCACTTTACCTACCAGCTATTTGATTTTCAGCAAAGTTTCTACTTTTTGTCTTCCCTTCCTAGCAATAAAATAAACATGGCAACAGTGCCTGTCTCATAGAGTTTTGGGGAGGATTAAATGAGATAGAAGACACACCATTCTTAGAACAGTGCCTGATATGAAGGAAGTGCTATATGGGTCAGATGTTATAATTTTTATAAGAAATTTCACTTTTTTCACTTTCTGATTTTTAACTTTCACGTATTTTCTTGAATTTTAATTTTAGCATTATCTTGCATCTTTTTCTTTCTCTTCTCAGGTTGCTAAGTCTATTATTTTAAATCATTATATTCGATTTGGTCTACTTTCCTGTTAGAGTTTTCCAATGGTTTATTTTAATTACTAGTTTTAGGACTTTCTTCTCCTTAGGTTTTGTTGACACCCTCTACTTTCCTCTTTTTCTTTTTGGTTGGTTGGATTGGTGGTGGTGTTGGTGGGGGCACATGTGGATTGTTATTATGGTGGTGTGATTTTTAATAATTTGTTTTAATTGTGATCAAAAAGCAGTCTAGAGAAGTGATTAGTAAACTTCAATGTGTCTCAGAATAATCTAAATAGTTTGTTAAAGTAGACTGATGGCACCATGCTCAGAGTTTCAACTCGGAAACTAACATGTCTAACAGGTTCCCAGGTGGTGCTGATGCTATTGGTTGGTGACCACATTCTGAGAACCACTGGTCTGAGGGAGTGTGAACAGGGGAGAGTGTTTATTATACTAGAGAAAACCCTTTCCATGTACCCTCAACCAGTTTGGTTTATTTCACCAGTGGTTAGAACTGGTTCAGTTTATTTAACCAAATAAACCCAACATGCTTTATTTTATTCTCCCCAACATATTCCACTCCCTGCTCAGTGTGGACTTTTCCCAGCCACCCTCTGTATATGGGTCATTGATTTACTGAAAAGTTATCTATTCAAACCTCACACCACCCCCTTTATGAGAAAATCTGTGACTTTGAATCCATGGTATCCAAAATATATAATGATTGGATTTTAGAAAAACCTTAGCAATGTGTGCCACGAGGGAAAAGCAAGGTGAACTTCATACCCAATAATACACTGTTAAGTCCTTACTCTTATGAGGAGCCAGGGGTAATGGAGTTCCCAGACGACCCCCTGGGAATGCTATGGTACAAGTCAGGTTCCTGTTACTTCTTTTAAACAGTCACTTTTAATAAAACTTTGGGAGGACAGTGGTAGAGACAACTAAAATACCCATGATTACCCATCTTTGTGTCCTCTCTTTCTTCTGGGGATAACTATTTCCCCAGAGCATATATGCATTTTTCCCATGCATGTTCACATAATTTTATTATCTACATGTCTTCCAATATTAGTATTATTATGTATTATATGTTATTTACATATTTGGTATCTTTTTTCCCACTTTCAGATGATCCATGTTTCCCTTCTACTTCTATTACCCTGTTCCCAAATCCCCTCAGTCCCCCAGATTCTGGAATAAACAGAATTACAGAGAAATAACTGAACTATGCTTTTCTAGTCCCTTTTCTTTGTCCCTAGAGAGCAAAGGATGTTATCCTGAGCACACTAGAGTCCCTTAAGGGATACTTTTATCAAATTTGGGTCCAGATCATAATGATAACTCTGATAACAGTTTCCTCCTTATTCCTTATCTCCTGTTGGCTTTATTTCCTCCACTGAGAGACAGATTTTCCCCATGAAGGAACTTTTCTCCAATATCAAATAACCATCTGCCTTCCTCCTACCTCTTATGTTCTGCCATCTCAAACATACCACAAAGTTTCAGAAAGTGGGCAGTCACTTCACTGTCTCCAGGTACAGAGATCTGATCCAGTGCCTGATTCCTGCCGTGTCACTAGCCCATAGGGGAAACAGTCAGAAATCCTGCAGATTCACCCACCACCTCTGCCCAGGTGGGCTCAAGCCGGGTGGATGTGGAGTGCACTGGTTTTCAGGAGGTGGCACTCTGGCAGGCCACAGACACACAACATCACCAAGGAGTATGGCTTTTTAAGCCTGGTAGACCTGGAGCATGATCTGCATTCTCCAAAAGTCCCCCCTTGGATTTTAGCCAGTTGGGAATCTGACATGAAGATCTCCAAAATGTTGAGGGCTTTTAATATTAATCACCTGCTAAAGTTCTGAATTTTACGTCATCCATTTCCCTGTATGTCGCCTTTTAGGCCTTTTAGTCCTCTAGCCATCATGGGAAAAAATCTCTTCCAGAGATACAGATCAATCCACCATCCTTACTTCTTTCACATTTAGGGCTACTGCTGCAAAATTGCCTAACACATCCGGAAAGAAATATTTTCTTGTGATTTCTGATCTTACTTATTGGCAGGCTGAATATCATGTCTCCATGTTAAAGTAAGCATATAGTTTATCACCTAGCCTGGAACATTTTTGAGGTGACAAATGCTACACCAGTTGGAGTGCTAGTACATCAGGAGAATGTCAGGACAGTCCAGACAAACCAGAATGCACAGGCATGGCCATCCTACATAATGTGCACGTTCCCTTTCCAAAAGGAAATGTGCAGAAGCAGCTTTCAGTAAACAAGTTGTTGTGTCACCCCTGCCAGGATGATGCTTCTATTTGCAGCTCCAGGAAGTCTTGACACTGGCTACACTGCACAAAATATATTTGCACACATGTGGGATTTGTAGTCCAACTCCCTGGTTTCTCTGGGTAGATAAATCTATACAAGTCTGTTACAAATAGAAACTTCATTATCTGTGCACTGCATGCTTCAGCCTTGGCTCAAAATGTAGGGATCTGCATTGTTTCCTTTTTCTAGGGAAAGCGTTGGCTACTTTAACTTTTCTGCCCTCTCTCAGAACTGCCAAGGAAGGATTTTAGCAACTCTCAATTACTAGCAACTCATCATGCAAAGAGGAATGACTTAACTGATTGGGTAGACTAGGGAGAAACCAGTATCTATAAGGCCACATTTCTCAATTGATCAGGGGTAATAATAATAATACCTAATATTTATTGAGTATTTCCTATTTGCCAGCGACTTTACATGTTTCTGTATGGTGCATTAGTTTCCTGTGGCTGTTGTAACAAACTACCACAAACTTTGTGACTTAAAACTACAGAGATTTATTCTTTTACAGTTCTGTACACCAGAAGTTTGAGATCAAGGTGTCTGCAAGGCTGCACTCCCTGTAGAAGCTCTAGTGGACAATCAGTTCTTAGCCTTTTCCAGCTTCTGGTGGCTGTTACCATTCCTTTACTTGTGGCTGCATCACTCCAATCTCTGACTTCATGGTCACTTTGCCTCTTCCTCTTTGTCTGATATTCCTCTGCCTCATGCTTCTAAGGAACTCATTTATTAAAATATAAGGCCTACCCAGATAGTCCAGGATGGCCACCTTTTCTTAAGATAATTACACCTGCAAAGACCTTTTCTCCAAATAAGGTAACATTCCCAGATTCTGAAAATTAGGATGTGGACATATCTTCTTGGGACAATCCTTCATGGTCCCTTCATGGGTTATCTCTCTAAATTCTCACAATGTAAGTCTAGAAGATGGGTACTCATAATACCACTTCTATTTTTCCAGTGGGGAAATAGGGCTTACTTTCTAAGGTCACACAGCCAATCAGTAGAGGAGCCAGGATTTGTACTCAGGAAGCTGGACTACAGCATCCACATTCCTAACCATGATGTTAAGAACACTACAAAATAGGTGCTCAATAAGCAAATACCAAGCTTATTGAGTTGGTGTCATTGGGACATTGTAGGAGTTCATACACGGCCTTCTTTCTATGTCTTTCACTTTCTCTTATACCCTTTTCCTTGTAAATTAAAAAGGATCAGAATTATTACTTCTGGCCTCCATATGGTAAAAAGCCCTAGTAGCAGCCCTACCTTTGGACCAAGAAGCTTAAGACAAAGCATAAAGGCCCACATTCTCCAAATTCTCTTGATATGCTGCAGTTTTTGTCAGAGAGATAATTGTATGTATATGTGTATGTTTTATATTATATAATAAAATATGTGCGTTGCTCAAAACAAACTGCTTAGTAAAATTACCAGAGCTTATGAGAAAATGGAATAGGGCAGACCACTCAAAACTTGGTGACCAACACACTAAAAAACAAGCCAATGAAAACAAAACAATAATTAGCATCTCAGAGAAAACTTGGACTGCCCAGAGAGGCAGCTCAGCCTGGCTGGAGGCTGCCACAGAAGATATTTAAAATGTATGCACAAAAAACTACCAGCAGAGTAAAAAAGCTGGACATATGGCTTACTTTGTTTCTTAATTTATTCTACAAACCCACCCCTGTTGGAGCTGCTCACATGTGTGTGCCTACCCCCTCCCATTCCTGGCAGGTCTGCAGGGCCCGACCTGCAGGAGCTGAGGCACACAAGGCCTGCTTCCACTTGCTCTATTCCAGCAGGAGTCAATGACAGACTTTATCCTCAAAATGAAAGAGCAAACATGAGTGCTGTCTTCTTAGGCTATTTTATTCTGCTACATATATTTCTGTGATGTGACTTAGCTTATACACAATTAGTAAATAGGGGAGTGATATCAGGTTAACGCAGATGTCAAATTGGTTCATTCTCAACTTTTCCTTAGCCAAAGGAGGGTAGAAGAATTATAACCTTCTGTAGGAAAGAAAAACACTCTGCTTCTGCAGTGGCAACAGAAACATATTTAGCTTTAATTTTTTAAATGTAAAACTAATATCTGGACTCTTAGAGAGGAGTCCTGGACTTTGCATAGCTTTTGGCTGGTCATGCCACCTCAAGTGCCCACCTTGAAGGCAGACCCAGAGACTTTGAGCTCCAATTCTACCCATATTGTCTTAGCGTCATACAGCACTGCTCCCCTCTTATGTCTATTCTCAATTGGTGCAAAAAGGAGAAAACACAGGCTCTGCTACAGGTAAAGCTGAATCCCATCATGGCAATCATCACAATAACAGCAACAGGCACTCAGAGAGTCCTTACTATTGTTACATGCTCTTGTGTATGAGTGTATTAAATCAGCTCATTTAATCCTCAACACAACACTACAAAATAGGTGTTTTCAGCTGAAGAATAAGACCTGGGAAGGGTACATGATTTAGCTAAGGCCATTATTATTAAACTGGCACAGCTTGGAAAAGAAGTAAAAAGTTCTAGAGTTGAAATGATAGTTTAGGGTATTGGGGTTAGAGGTTAAAGGCAGGAAAAAAAGAGCTAATACCAAGCTTATTGAGTTGGTGTCATGGGGACATTGTAGGATCAACTTAGATAAACTAGAATTTGGAAAAGTGCTATGGGATTATAAATGTTATCCTGAGGCTGCTCAGATAATTGATAGATGACTAAACATACTATTTTTAAAAATCACATAACAAAATGAATTCAAGTTATTCTTCAACTAGAATAGCAGCCTAGAACAATTCTTAAATGTATAAAAAACGGTATGTCTGATAGAAGAGTTAAACTATTCCGTAAGGGTTAAACAAATTTATCCTCCCTATTATTCTTTATAACTTGATTCAAAATGATTGAATGGTACTTTCAGATGAGCTGGATACAGACTCATATAGAACAGAGAAATATTGTTTTGTATTCCAATGATGCGGTTATATTATCTTAATTCGTGAATGGCCTGAACAAACAACTGACTCTGCAAGCTCATTATTGCCATAAAACCGAGTTGTAGCTCAACTTTTCAAATGTGAAAATAATTACTTTTAGAAGGATGTCCCAGAACTTTTAACCAGTTTATAAAGTACAAGCCCATACAACAAGTCATCTTGATGAACATTTCACAAACAGGGCATCTCTTTGGAGAGTATGTGAGGAAGTAGAGCTGTTCAAAGTTGGATAATATATAGATGGTAAAAGGACAGTTTAAAAAATTTTTGCTTTTGTGACTGTTTTCTGAATACAGCATCTGGTTATACTGCTTTAAATTGTTTTCAAGCTAAATCAATTGTTGCCATGCTACACAGAGCAGAACTTTTGGATTTGATTTTATATTAATCTGCATGCTGGAACTAATCTAAAATTATATTTTGGGGAGTACTTTAGCCCTCTGCAGGTATTTTCCTAACTCGCCTCAAGGGGAAGAGATACAAAGACCAGCAGAGTAGCACATAGAAGTGGGTACATATCTGCTTTTCACCATACCCTTTTTACTCTTTTTAAATTCCAATCCTAATATATCCCATCTGGTCACATTTCATGTCTTATAATATAAGTAACTATAAATCACTTTTTAAAGAAACTGAGGTATAAATAAATTGTAAAAGAAATTAAATATATTTTTAATACATTAGTTCAAATATATTTCTTCAAATACAAGTTCAATTGCTGGCATAAACATACACACATACACATTGAAGTATCTCCAAAATTTGCATAAGAAGTTGTTCTCCCAGTTGAACAACTGAATTGTTTACTGAATCTAAGGTTCCAGATCTTAGATTACAAACCATATTTAAAACCTCTAGACACTAAATATTTTATTTTCCCAAAAAAGGAAATTTGCAATAGCCACCTTTCCTAAGAATACAGTATTCTCTTTCCAATAAGGCATAATTTTATCTTGAAACAAGAAAGTTGCATGCACATTTAATGCACTATTTTAAAGTATATCTGTAGCTATCATACTTCTTTGCAGGAATGGCTAATACACAATAAGTCATCTTCCTCAGTTGGTCTTCTACCTGACAAAAGGCTAAACTTTTCCCCTCACTTCTATTAGCTTGATACACTGAAGCTAATGTCTAGTCCTCAGAATGTAAGCCCTTTTACTAAAAGGGTAAGACTAAAACTTACAGTCACAAGTTTAACTATTTCCACCAGTCCTAACTTTGGGCCTTATTCTTCAAATGGAACATGAAAGGATTTTTTTGTTTCATTATCTGACAAAATACCTCTCTAAGTTTATTTTCCCCCAGGAGGAAGAGTCACAGAGGATATTTTTAGTACAGGTAGTTTATTTGGGTGGTGATCCTAGGACATAGGAATGAGAGACCAGAAAATTTAGTTCACAAAATAGGAAAAGCCAACATAAAGGTTCACTGCCACAGTTTTCACTGTGGACAAAATGAGCTCAATTCACCAGGACCTACTGAGAAGCACACATCATGCTTCCCAGAATCATATTCCTAAAGGACAAGAGGCTGGAACATTGATCCACCAGCTTCCATCTCCTATTGCTTTAAAGCTATCCTGGTAATTAACTCACCCGTACTTTCAGGTTCCCCAGCATCAGGGAAGGATTAGAGGCAGAAAGCAGAAAAATACTGCCTCTCTTGAGGTGGGAAATGCAAAGTCAATCTGAGCTTGCATAGACATGTATACCACAGCTACAGCTAAAATCAGAGGTAGGCCTAGGTAATGAAATTCAGTGTTCCAGGGGTGTCTAAAAGCACCCAAATGTGGTGGTAGATGGTTAATGTGGCGACCTCCAGTGAACCACACCTCTTAGATGGCTCTTATAAGAGCAGTCACAAGTTTAGCCCTTCTGCTGTCTCTGGGCTGAGCTTCTTACTGCTCTAATAGGATACAAGAGAACTGATGCTGTGCCTATTATAGGCTGAGCCCTTAACTGATCTGGCAGCTTCTACTTCCTGCTTCTTGAAATGCTTACTCTTGGAACCCAACCTCTATGACTTGAGGCCCCCTGGCTTAGAGCTCTAGCGGGGCTCCTGGTCAATTCTCCAAATGACTAATGCTGTCTCAACAGGCAATACCATGTGCAGCAGCAGAACTGCTGTCAAGCCATGAAATCACAAGCTATAATAAAACATTATTTTATGCCATTACATTTTATGGTGTTTATTTTATTCAACAATCAATAGCCAAAATATCAGTCAAGAAACCTTGAATAAAATAGTGTTCCCAAAGTCCCTAGAAGGGACAGCTGTGTCTTCTATAACACGACTATTGGAGAACTACATTTTCTAGTTTTGCCTATTTCTTACCTAGTCATATGGTAACCCTTATCTTATCCTTGCCTATCAGTTATAGCTGTGGAGGATTCAGAATAATTTTAACGCTTCTGACAGAAAATACTTTTGATATCTCTTGCCAAATTACTTAGCATTATTGTGTAATAGATTTTCATGTATGCTCCAATTTTCTTCCTCAGTGTGGATGGTTACAGAGTTACCAGATTCATTAAATGTTCATTCAACAAAAAGTCATTTAAAATTCATTGAACAAATATTTATTGAGTACACACTATGTGGCAGGCATTTTTCTAGGTACTGGCATTATGAAAATTAACAAAATAGAGAAAAAACCCTGTTTTCTTGAAGAGAGGAGATTGACAATAAGCAGAATAAATACAGAGAATATTCAGTATTTAGAGAGTGGTGTTAAGAAGAAAACTAAAGCAGGGAAGGGATGATGAAAATATTAAAGGGTGGATGTTAAAATTTTAGATTAGTGGCCCAAGATGGCACTGAGAAGACGGCATTTGAGGAAAGGCCTTGAGGAAAAGAGAGATGGAACAACAAGGAAATCTACCAGAAAAGCGGAGAGAACAGCAAGAACAAAGAACTTGAGACAAAACTGTGCCTGATGTATTCAAGAAACAGTGATGAGGCTATTGTGGCTGGAAGTGAGTGAGTGAGGGAATAGTAGTAAAAGACAAGGTCTAAGAGTTGATGGGGAACTAGGTCATACAGGATCTTTTAGTCATAGTTAGGATTTTGGCTTTAATTTTGGTTGAGAATGGAAATCACTGGAGAGTTTGGGCAGAAGGGTAATATGATCTGACTAAGTGTTTTAAAGGATCATTCTGGCTTCTGTGTTAAAAACAGGTATGGGTAAAGGGACAAAAGAAGATTCAAGAAAATCAATCAAGAGATAATTGCAATAATCCAGGCAAGAGGACAATGACTTGTACCAGAATGGTAATAGTACAGGTGGTGAGAAGTGGAGAGATTAGACAGATTCTGGATGTAACTGAAAATACAGCCAGGCAATGGGATTTCCTAACAGATCAGAAGTGAGGTGTGATTAAAAAAAGAGAGGCATTAAACATTACTCCAAAGTTTGAGCCTGAGCAACAGGATGAATGAAGTTTCCATTAACTGACGTGAGGATGTTTGAGGGTTTACTGTTACACATGTTAATTTTGAGATGGCTATTAAACCTACAACTGAAGATGTTGAGGAGGAAGTGTTATCAACAAGACTGGAATTCAGGATAGAGGTTCCAGCTAGAGCTATAAATCTGGGAATCATCAGCATATGGTATTTAAAACCATAAGACTGGATTAAATCACTAAAAGATTGAGTATAGATAGAAAAAACAAGGGGTCTACAGACTAAGTATTAGGTATTCTAAACTGTAGAGGTTGGTAGGGAAAGGGCATTTATATAAAATGGTGTATTATTTGCACATAACCTAGGCACATCCTTTCATATACTTTAAATAATCTGTAGATCACTTATAATACATAATACAATGTAAATGCTACATAAATAGTTGTTATACTAAATTGGTTTTATTTGTATTATTTTCATTATTGTATTGTTATTTTTTATTTTTATTTTTAAAATACTTTTTTATTTTTCTTTTTTTAAGATGAAGACTTGTTCTGTTACCCAGGCTGGAGTGCAATGGCATGATCTCGGCTCACTGCAACCTCCACCTCCCGGGTTCTAGCGATTCTCCTGCCTCAGCCTCCTGAGTAGCTGGGACTACAGGTGTGCGCTACCGTGCCCGGCTAATTTTTGTATTTTTAGTAGAGATGCGGTTTCACCATGTTGGTGAGGCTGGTTTTGAACTCTTGACCTCAAGTGATCCACACAATTCGTGCCTCCCAAAGTGCTGGGATTACAGGCGTGGGCCACCACACCTAGCCTATTTTTTAAATATTTCTGATCTGGGCTTCATTGAATCCCAGATGTATTAGATGTAGAACCCGTGGATATGGAAGGTCAACTGTAAAGAAAGCATTTTAAGGAGGAGAATGTATCTGACTGTCAAATTCCATACAGTTCAAGGAAGATGAGGTTTGAGAGCTATTAGATTTACTAATACAAATTGCACTGATGGTCTTGGTAAGAGCAGTTTTGCAAAACAGTGGTGGTGAAAGCCTAATGGATTAAGATAGAGAATGAGCGCTCTCTTGAGTAGAGAAAGTAGAGCCTGTCACTACAGAGAATTCAAGGCTTTTGTATTGAAGGGAAGAAGCAAAATGAAATGAAATTGGCACAGTAAAACTTTTCTTTTTTTTTTTTTTAAGGTGAGAGAAATGACATTAGGCTGACGGGAATGATCCAAAAGAGAATGATTCTGGTCGAAGAGAATGTTGAGAATTGCTAGAGTCATGCTTTAGTGGGTGTAAAGGGATGCCTTTATAGTGCATCAATGAGGGGTTGGTCTTAGCTAACAGTATGAACAGTTCAAGCTAATTCTTCATAGCAGGAAAGAAGGTAGAGTGAATGGACACAGATGTAGGAGTTAAGTAGATGAGGTGGGAGAGTTTATGGAAGTTCTTCCTAAAGACTTCCATTCTGACAGTCAAATAGGTATCAAGGTCATTAGCTAACAGTGATTATGGTAAAAGAGGTGTTGGAGGTTTGCAAAGAGGTTGAAAAAGTACGAAGTATCAACTAGGAGAGCATGGATTGGGGATATATAACATCATTGCAGCACAGTACTAAGGACATTGGAGGACAGTGGTCATGAGTGCAAGTGGAAGCAGTCAGCCTCATTGTGTGCTGCATAACATGCAGCTGTGTGGATGCAGGAGCCACAGAGAGTTGGATTTAACCAGGTTGTGTTTGGATAATTGATCACAGCAGCATACTCCACTCTCCTCATCCCCCTCACATTCTCATGGAAATATCTGCTTTCTCTTCCTAACAGAGGAATGTTGTTCAGAGATCTTGGTGATTCTGACTCAGCTTTCAATATTTTGCCTAAGGATGTCTTGCAAATGTTTTGTCTGTTGTCGTTCACTTTTCCTTTCCCATCCCACAGTTCATATGTTTTTCTATTTTCCATGTTATGCAATATAGTTGTACCCTGACTAATTTTCCAAAAGGGGGCAAAGACAATCATGGAAAGAGAGGTATAATTAGAGCTTCAACAGTATCTCAATAATGTTCAATATCATTTACTGAGCATTTATGTCCTGGGTATTTAACATACATTTCTAATCCTTTTAACAAGTTTTCCCACCTTAAAGGAAGGAAACCCTACAAGGTAAAATGAGTTGCTCAGCTAGTATAGGCACAAGCTAAGATCCAAACCCTTTTCTACTTGTCCCCACAGAATTGACTCTGGCCACAGCTCCACACTCTCTAGCCCTTATTTGCCAAGACCAAAATCAAGCTTTCATTGTCCCAGCTCTAACTGTTGCATATTCAAATGCTGTTATGTGGGCTTGCCCAAATATCCTTAGTCCAAGGTGTCATTTCCAGTCTTGCTTTCCAACCACTAGACCTCATCTGCTCCTGATCTTGGGACAAAAACTTTTGTTTTCATGTTCCAATCTTAACCCATTCTGCAACACTGAACTTTTACTGATGTCCTCTTGTTCAGTTTTAAACCTCTGAACACCTTTGCCTATATTTATAATATCCTGGCACTATGACATTTTGGGCCAGATAATTTTTTTTTAATAGTGGAAGCATGTCTTGTGCATTGTAGGCTGTTTAGCAGCATCCCAGACCTCCCCCTACTAGATGCCAGTGGCACCCTTACCCTAATTGTGACAAACAGAAGTAGCTCCAGACATTGCCAAATGTCCTCTGGGAGGCAAATTCTTTCCCGATTGAGAAACACTGGATATGAAGTAAAAAATTAGAGTTAATTTTAGTTTTTTGAAAATGTTTCTGTAATTTTATATTGCCACTTTATCCACAATTAAAGATAAGTTGCAGTCTAAATTCATTATAACAGTCCCTATGTTCCCATTATACTTTGAAATAAATAAATCTATAATAACATTTATCACATTTAATTATAGTGCTTTAAGAAACACAAATATAGCATACATATTTTTGGCTATAAAACTAGCATCTCTTTGGTGACAGAGATCATGTAATTTGCATCTCCAGTGCTTGCAAATATCCTAATACATAATATGTGCTCATCTTCTACTTTTAAACTGTGTTGGGAGGAATTCCACGTGTTGGCTTTTTAAATTATCTAAGAGTACAGAATACCCATGTATTGTTTTGTAACCTTTATTCACATCACGGCCCTGCCATCTAGTGGCTAATTACCCAAACTACAGGTACAATATCTAGGATGAAATAAGCTAACAAGCCGTATTTCTCAAATACAAAAATGCAAAATTACATTCACTGTCATAAGATAAAGAAACTTCAGAACTCCTTTCATATATGTGCAAATATATTTTTCAACTGCTGAAATATTCCAATTTTTGACTCTTTGCTTAGTGAAATTAATTCACCTGTATCAGGCTTTTACCTCCCATATATAATTTTTTTTTTTTTTGCAAATGAGTGAATATATACCGATGTAATGTCTAAATTATCCCCCTTTGATTTTATACAATATCCTTTCCTAATCAAGCTCAGCCTTTCCTGCTTTTTCCCTCAGTTACCTCTCTCCCTGAAGAATCTAAACCATTCAACAAAACACCTGCCAAGACACAGAACTCAGAGAAATAAGAAGACCTAAAGAAAAGCTCCCCAGAGAGCAGGATTCATTGTTGGATTCAGCCCAAAGTTGTTCCACTATTTGGATTGAAATAGGCAGTTTTGTGCAGCAGGCTATTAGTGTGGTTACAGCATTGACTGAACTGATACATCAGTTGGATAGGGGTCCAACAGAATAGAAGGAAGGTGCGAGATAAGGTTGGCAATTCAATTTCAACTTTACTATTTAGCGTTTGAGAGGTCATAAATTAATTCATATTTATGAGTTACAAAATGTATTTGCTTTAGCAGGAAGGCATAACCAAATGTCTCTAAAATATGCTGAATTGTTCTTTCACTTACCTATTTTGTTGAGATCATTAACACAGTTTGAAGTCAAATGCAGCAGATGCATAAACACTCAGATAGTTCTCTTTCTTCCTAATATTAGCTCCTGATACATTGATTTGAAAGATGAATATTTATTTTTAATACTGCAAACTTACCAGTGGCATAACCTCACTTTTTCAATGTCAGATCCTTAACATGTCTAAAGAAGTTTAGGAAATTTAGATCAGTTCCTCATTGCATAGATTAAGCAACTGGGATTTTGAAGGGTTTAGCACTTTCTCTAAGGTAATGTATCTAATTATGGCAAATTATGTAGAACTCTCCACTGTTGAGAGAGTAACTATTAGCCCAGAGGCTGCACCATAATTTAATGCCTTAGGCTGCACACACCACTAAGAGGATGACAAGATGAGACTACCAGGTTCAAGCCAATCATGCTTCACATCCCTGTGTAGCTCACTAATCTGCAGAAGTTCCAGCCTCTCTAAGTCCTTCTTTTTCTCATAAAATCATAATCCACAAACTGTTATTCTCTCCACTTCTCCCCCTCCCTAAATAAACCCTTCTAGTGTTTCATGTGACTCTCATCTGTGTTCAGCAGTCCAGTCCCCTTTCCCTCATTTTCCCATCATCTCCTTGCCTTACCTTAGTTGAAACCTATCTGGTCCCTGAGAGAATGTCAGGGCCAGGATTGGAGGTAGGTGCATTCCTTGCTCTCTCCCATTGCTACTTTCAAATTATTTCACCCCTTCCCTCCTGCAAAAATCACCGTTCTTTTGATGTTTATGTCATCTGGATATACCACCCTTTCTTAGACCTTCTCACTATCTTCTGCCAACATCCTAGTCAAATCTCTTCATTTACTGAAGTCTTCCATTCCTGGCAAAAGGTCTTCCATTCTAACCCAGTTCCTTCCTTTATCCTTGGTGATTTCCATACCTGACTGGATGATGCAAAAACTCTCAGCTTCTCAGTTTCTTTACTTCCATATTCCAATGACATTTTCATTTTTTCCACTCCAGTCATCCATTCTGTGTCACACCTTGGATCTTTTCATCTCTTAAAAAGCAGCAACCCTTTCAAAAAATTCAAATAATAACATCTAACTTTCCTTCTACAACTTCCTATGCATTCAGGTCATTGATGCAAGTACTCCATACAACCACATAGTTTCTCAATGATGTGGGGACATTCAACTCTTTCATCTCACCACTTTCTTATCCATCAGTCCCCTCCTGCCATTACTTCCCATCTTGTTCAACCCAGATCCCATAATCAATATAGTTCCCCCTTTGAAATACTTTCAACTCCCAGTCCTTTCTTTGCTTCACTTGAGCTGATCTTACAAAAAACCCAATCCATGGATGAACTCACTCTGCTTCAGACCTCTCTTTTTGCTATGTACGGAGATATTTAACTTTTTGTCTGTAGCTATATATGTAGAAACAAAAGGAAGGGCAGTTTCTTACATGACTCAGTGTTCAGCTTAATTTTTTTCTTTTGGCATAGTGAGTTGGAGTCCCGAGTATTTATTTTCCTTTCACGTTTCTCCCCCTCCTTTTTTTCTTTTTTTTTTTTAAAGTCTTTTGGAGAAAGCATTTTAGAATAAAATTAGTCTCTTGTCTCAAGTTCTGTCTGATCTCTTGTGGCTAGGGAAATTTATTCCTAGATAAATAGGTCTCATGTTATGAAAGCTCATTTTTACCATGTTGTAGTCTCACTACCACAAGAAAAAATAGGGGGAGGAAGAGAGAAACAAAACAAAGGAAAAAAAGGAGAAAATAACAAAAAAACAACAAAGGGAAAACAATCCTGGAAAAGTAATAAATAACATATTACTCTGAAGTCTATACATAAGATTGCAGGTATGAAAATGGTTTATAAATAGGTTGCTGTTATTTTCTTCCAAAATTTAACTTGCCTAGCTTCCATATTTCTAATCAGAAAAAAAGGGGCGGGGGGAGGAAAAGAAGGAAGAAAAAAATTGAAAACATGATTTTGGAGACTTTTGATCAGGAAAGATTTTAGAATTCAGTCCAAATTGTAGAAAAATAATAAAAATTAAGTAACACTAGACAAGGCTAAAATCTAATAACAAGTGTACTATAGTTTATTCTGAAACATGATTTTTTTCTCTCTAATTCCCTAATTTTGTTAAACACAAAATCATAATAGGACAAACTTATCTGTAAAATAAGTTTTAGTCGTATTATACTTGGCTTGATTATTTGCATAAGGTGCAGCAAGAATAATCATTTACTATACTGGCTCCCTCTTTTTTGAAATTGGCTTTGCTGGAAGCTTTTCCATAAGGAATCTAAGATTAGACCTTTTTAAAAGCCTCACGCCCAGCCAACAATTTATCTGTGCCTGCAGATACCTGTTTGAATTGGGTGAATTCCTCTCTTTTTGAGGTCCCAAGAAAACTTGGGGTTCCTGGGCCTATCATAAAGAGACATTCTTTACTTAAGACAAGTCAGGACCTTGTAAAGGACAATGTATGAGGTCAGTTTTTCCAAAGGGCTTTTATCAACTCTATAGGTCAGCCTGCTCTAGATTGGATCAACAATCCTCATTAATACATCAGCTCTCCATGAGAGTCCTGGAAGTTTTCTCTCTATTCCAATGGCACAATTTCTAAAGTTACCAGAAACTTATATTTAAGAGTACTTCTCAGAGTATTATTGCTGATTATAAATCACCCCATAGAAGGATCAAAGTAAAACAACAATTGTGGATGACAAAGGTCTTAGCACAGTCATGGTTAAAGACAGAATTGACAAGGAAATTGGGTTACTTTTGTGGCATACAACAATTTTACATAATAATCATAATCGCTACTGATAACATATATTAAGACATAACAGAATCACAGGAATCTCATACAATTTTGGAACACATACTAATAACCCATTTATATAAACATAATCCAAATAAGGTTAAACACCATTTTGAATTTGACAATGCTTTCTGTATGATGTTTATTATACCAAATAAGCTGAACATGTCTCTTTTGGGCTTCAGAAGACCTAATATCAAAAATTAATGAAGTCAACAGAACTGAATTTAAAATTTGATATTAGAAAGTTTGTCAAATATAAAAAGCTTAAAACACTTCATATCACATAGTAGAATCACAGGTTATTGTAAAATAAGTCATTCATTTAGCCAAAATTATAACTCAAAGATTTCCAAGAAAAGGCAAAAATCTTTATTGAGAGAGGAGGCCTTAATTTCCCAAACAACAAGCCCTTGAAAAGACAGCATGAGGCCAACTAAATCTGTCTCTCAAATCTTACAAACAAATGTATTAAATTTTAAATATCTTGACTAAAAGATATAATTTTCATATACCTTTTTATAACCTCCTATAATTTTTTATTAAATAGTTGGTTAGTGCTTCAAGAAAACCTTGTTAATCTGACACAGGGGCCTAGATGCTGGTTTGCATTAGTGTGCTTTTGATATTAATGTTTAATTTACAGAGAAACTCTGAACAAATTTTGTCTCTCAAAATTGGCCCTTACAACCTCAAATGTCCACCTGTTCTGCAATAGTCCCTGGGTCCAGAGGTATTGAATAGTTTTAATTTCTGGCTCTGTGTCTCATGAACATGGTGTATTTTGATTGTCATTTTCTCCCAGGTCTGAAAATGAGGCTTTAATTGTTGTCAGTGTTGAGATTTAGCAGGACTTAGTGTCCTTTTTAGACCCATGCATCAAAGCCCTGTAACTTGACAGCACAAGGACTTTTAAAGCAATACAGAAAGTTACATGGATGAGATAACCTTAATTTTTAAAATGTTTAAATCTCAGTTTTCCTAAGCAAATCAAAATTTAGTAACAATGACCTAGGAATTATTTTGATAAAATGTAAAATCCATTAGGCCATTTACCAAAAGGCAAAAAACAAAACAAAACAATAAAAACCAATCTTCTGCAGTGGGACTACTTTTCCCTATAAGGAGTCCACTTAGATAACCTGCAAGTCAAAACTAATGAAAATGGTACTTGAATTAGATATAGGAAGAGTATGAAGCCAAGAGCACAGAATGTTATACTGGAAGAAAATATGTCCTTTAGGCCTTTAAGGTAAAACATTTTTAGCTTTAGGCCACAAGAGTAGTTAGAAGCTGAGTGAAAAAATTACAGGAGCTGACAAAAAAGTTGAAGGAGAATGGTATTATCTCAGTCCTTCTTGAAGGAGAGAGAGAGCTGAAAACAGTGAGACATGATAAAAGTTGAACTTTTGGGTTAAAAAATTAAAATCTTGTAATTTTATTAAGCATAAATAAATACCTTAAGAAAATCTTGTTGTTCTAACCAATTCTTTAGCATATTAGTTTATTTTTAATATCAAAGCCCAATCTCTAAAAGACTATTATAAATAATTTCCTTTTAATTATAGCCAACTTAATCACAGTTTTTTTCCATAAATTCTCCTTTTACAAACCTTATTGCAACTTATACAAACCATTTCCAACATGCTTGGACTTGCTGTTTTGTCCTAAACATCCCTCATTCCTAAATAACCAGTGAGTTTACTTTAGGACAAAAATTTACCATATAAGATTCTTTCTCATATAAAATTATTCCTTTTAACCTGTCTTATCAAAAATATCTCTTTATATCTATTACTTTCTTTACTAGTTCTTTTTACTTTGTTTCAAAAATAACCTTTAAATAACTTTTGAATTAGACAAAAATTATTTTCCTTCAAATAAGATTTTTAGAAAATTCTTATAATTTAAAAAAATTGGAAATGACCTAGCTATTTAATGAGTATCTAGTATTTAATTTAATGTAAGTTTACCTTCCAAATTATATGACGTTTATTCCATTTACCTAATTTTTTTATAGTTTACCGAGATTACTTATGAAAACATTTAAAGTTATTTCCCTGTTAATCATTTTAGAGCTTGTGAATTTCCTGTGTTTACCTAAGAAAGAACCTTAAGGTTAAATAGACGTTTTGTTTGTTTGTTTTTGCCAACAATGCAGGATTTTAGCTATTTTCATTAAACCAACAATATTTAATGCCTTCTTGATTAAAAAAATTACACAAACAAAGATAATTCTCTTTTGGGATGTATTTATAGCTTTATAATCCTCATGACAAATTTTGACACCTTATAATATCTAGCAGAAATAAATATAACACTATTTGACCAATAAATCTAAACAATAATGTATGTTGACAAATCTGAAGACACATCTAATTTTATTTTACCAATAATTTAAAAACCAGCTTATCTATTAGAGGTTTACTTAAGTCATGTGAACTTGAAAAAGTGTTTGGGCTTAAGGTTTCTATTTTTCTGATAAAGTATTTGATACAAAATTTTTTTTCTTTAAGCCAATTAATTAGAGCTCTTTTATATACTTTGGTAGTGAAGCATACACAAGACACGTAAATATGCAGACGTTTTAGATACACAGGTAGTATTAGATCTTATAGATCCATAAGACCCCTTTTTCCTCCTATTTTAGACATCCAATTTCTTGATAATCTGTTTCATTACCCTAGGCAATTGTCAGACAGCCCTAAATTTGCATACTAAAGGAAAAACTCAGGTAAAAATCAGATAGTGAAATTTATGTCTCAAAGTACATATATGCACACACAAACACACACGCACACAGAGATTGAGAGAGAGAGAGAGAGACTGGTTTGTTAGAGGGAGTTAAAAATGAATGCCAAGTCACACATAAAATTCTAGAAATCTACCATAGGATTTTATAAGGAGGCCAATATTATTTAAATAGGTAGTTTTAAATTTAGTCTCTGTCTTTTAACTGGACCTTTGAGCTCTGGGCAGAGCCTACAATGAAGCCTGGGTCTCCAAAAACAGAGACATATCATGAAACTAGGCCAGGTAACGCTTTTACAGTGCACTTTGTTGCAAGGACATTTCTCTAAGTGTCTAAACCATGTCACTTCTTATCTTAAACACCCAAGAATAGCCCCTGTTGTATGTAGTAACTATTTTAGTAAAAAAAAAAAAAAAAAAAAAATCAGGTAACATAATACAAAAGCAAGCAGCTTAAGGTCTGAGAGGAACTTGACTGTTTGTAGTCTTGGAATTCCATAATGAAAAACAGAGATTTCTTGCCAGAATGGAGTCTGGGGCCTTCACTGTTTTCTTTAAGACATTCCAGGCTGTTAGAAATTATTTTAGGTCCCTTAGGTAGCAGAGGGGTAGCAAGAGGAAGGAGAGATAGACAGAAGTAAATGGAGAAAACAGAATTCAGTTGACTGAGAAGAAAAAAAACCTTTTTCCCAAAAAAACAAGATAATGGGAGAGAACAAAAGTATAAAGGCCTTTTAAATACATATATTAAACACTGCATATGTATGTACATATATATTCAGTATTATGCATATGTATACACATATACATCTTAATTAGCTTTTAATTAAGCTGACTTTTAATCATTGAGCTCTTTAAAATATCATTTAAAATCTCTTATTACCATATTTTATCTGGGACAAACTGATTTTTCAAAGGTAACACAAATACCAATCCAGAAAGGATTTGATTTACAAACCAAACTCAGGCTGCCATGGTGAAAGGGCAGAACCTTAGCTACTGAACTACAGCATGGAGTGACCACCATTGTTGCTCTTTTAGTTTGGCTTTGCTAGCAAAAGGTGGCCTTTTTACATAAATAAAGCCCTTCAGGTAGTCAAAATCTTTCTTTTTTCCTTTTCTTGGCCATTTTTTTTCCTTTTCCTTTTTTTGTACACAGCTTTGGGAATTTAGGCAATTCAAAGGCTGTGTTCCCCATAATTTGGAACTTTCCTTCAGATTTAACCAAGTCAAGCAGAGTTGGTCAAACCCAATGGGAGAAAGACTGAAATAAAACAACAAGAACAGAAACAAATAAACAAAAAACCAAGCAAAACAAATAAATGATCACACAACTTATATGATTACGGAGTGCTCTAATAGTAAAGAGAAATTAAGAACACCTGGTTGTTAATCTTAATTTTTAGTCATTAAGGAGAACTTCCAAGACAAAACCACAATTCAGCTACTTACCCAGAAATGCGGCCCAGGTTGAAACTGCTCTCTACCACCTTAGAAGCAGGGAAAAAACTCTCAACCTTGCCTTCCCTGTTGGAAGTGAGCTAAAGCTCCAGAAAGGAATTGCCTGCCTCTAACGTCATGGAAGCAGGAAAACTCTCATTCCTTGTTGTTAGTGAGTAAAGCTCCAGAAAAGGAGTTGTACAGCAAAATAAACCTCAGATCTCAACCAAATTTGGGAGATCAGAGATTCTCTGGAGTGGGGAGCTCCTATGCCTCAGAAAATTTTCCTACTGGTTTGAGCAATAAAGATAGCTCAAGCTGGTCCCAAGCACTGATGGGAAAGTTACCAAAGGTCAGGGCCACCGCTACTTAGAGTCCCTTCTGATGATCACCAATTTGTAGACCAAAAAGTACCTGAGAGAGTTCCCAGTCAGTTTAGAAGTTTATTTTTCCAAGTTTAAGGACATGTCCAGGAGAGAAGTCTGTGTCTTTCTCCAGAGATGATTTTCAGGGCTTCAATATTTAAAGGGAAAAAGCAGTCTTAGAGGAAAGAGGGAGGGTATGGTCATATTACCGAATCCACATGTTGCAAGAGGAAAGGAGCAGGTAGGAGATAGTCAATTATATATTCATCTCACACTCACTAAATTGGCACTTTACATAAGATAAGGGGAACATAGAGTAGCTACCTGTGGAGACATTTAACTTTTTGTCTGTAGTCATTTGCTTAGGAACAAAAAGAAAGGCACTTTCTTGCATGATTCAATCCATGAAAATAGGACATCATCCCATTTATTTATGTCTTTTTGAATTTGTTTTATCTTAATCCCTAAGTATTTTAGTTTTTGTTGGTGATGTAAATGGAATTGTTTTCTTTCAACCTTTCAGATCATTATTGATTTATAGAAATATCACTAATTTTTGTATGTTAATTTTGTATTCTGCAACCTTGCTGAAATATGTTTTAGTTTTAACAGTTTTCCTTGTGGAGTCTTTGGGGTTTTCTATGATTATGTCATCTGCAAACATAATTTTCTCTTCTGATTTGTATGCCTTTTATTTCTTTTTCTTGCCTGACTGCTCTGGCTAGGACTTGAAGTATTATGTTGAATACAAATGTTAACAGTGGACTTCCTTGCCCTATTCTGGATCTTAGAAGAAAAGCTTTCAGTGTTTCTCCATTGATTATGATGTTGAGGGTTTTGTTTTTTGTTTTTTGTTTTTTTTTTGAGACGGAGTCTCACTCTGTAGCCCAGGCTGGACTGCAACGGCATGGTCTCAGCTCACTGCAACCTCCGCCTCCCCAGCTCAAGTAATTCTCCTGTCTCAGCCTCCCTAGTAGCTGAGATTACAGGTGTGCACCACCATGCCTGGCTAATTTTTGTATTTTTAGTAGAGGCGGGCTTTCTCCATGTTGGTCAGGCTGGTCGCAAACTCCTGAACAAAAGTGATCCCCACGCCTTTGCCTCCCAAAGTGCTGGGATTACAGGCATGACCCACCGCACCCAGCCGATTGTGGGTTTTTATATATACCCTTATTGTGTTGAGGTTCATTTCTTCTATACTCATTTTGTTGAGAGTTTTTTAAATCATGATAGAATGTTGAATTTTGTCAAATGCTTATTCTGCATCTATTGAGATGACCATGTGGTTTTTTCTTTCATCCTGTTAATGTGTATCATATTGATGGATTTTTTGTATGTTAAACAATTCTTGTATGCCAGGGATAAATCCCACTTGATTATGGTTTATGATCCTTTTAATGTGCTGCTGAATTCTGCTTGCTAGTATTTTATTGAGGATTTTGGCATCTATGTTCATCAAGGATATTGGCCTGTAGTTTCCTCCTCTTGTGATGTGTTAGGCTCTAAAATTAGGGTGATACTAGCTGATAAAATGAGTTTGGGATTGTTCTCTCTTCTAGTTTTTAGAAGAGTTTAAGAAGAATTGGCATTAGTAAAATGAGCAAATCACAGAAGAACAAATACTATATGATTCCACTTACGTGAGGTATCTAAAATAGTCAAACTCATAGTGAATAGTCAAACTCATAGAAAATGGTGGTTGCCAGGGCTAGGCAATGGGAAAAATGGAGAGTTGTTTGATGAGTATAAAATTTCAGTTATGCAAGATGAATAAGTTCTAGAAATTTGCTGTACAATATAATGCCTCTAATTAAACATACTGTATTGTGCGCTTCAAAATTTGTTTGCAGTAGATTTCATGTTCAGTATTCTTACTACACACTCACAAAAAACAAACAAAGGAAAAACCACCACCCGGAAACTTTTGAAGTGACAGATATGTCTATTACCTTGATTGTAGTGATGATGTCACAGGTGTATGCATATTTCCAAATTCATCAAATTGTATACATTAATGATGTATAGTTTGTTGTATATCAATTATACCTCAAGAAAAATAAAGTAAGGTAGAATAAATTTTCCAACCTGGTTTTTTTTTTTTTTAGATTGTCAGCTATCTAACATCTTTTGCACTTCTATATAACTCCATTTTAGAATTTGTGTGTCAATTCCTATAAAAAATCTGCTGTGACTTTCAAATGAATTACACTGAATCTACAGATTAATTTAGGGTTTACCGATATCTTAACAATATGGAATCTTCCAGTACATTACTATACTATTCCATTTGTTTTGGTCTTCTTTGGTTTCTCTCTGCAATGTTTTGTAGTTTTAAATTTAGAGGTCTTGCATATATTTTGTTAAATTTTTCCTAGGTATTTGAAGGGTTTTGTGGCTACTGTCATTGGTATTGCTTTTTTGTTTGTTTGTTGGTTCTGGGTTTCCGTTTTAAATAAACTTTGTAATTTGGAAACATTTTAGATTTACAGAAATGTTAGAATGATAGTACAGAGTTCTGGTATACTCCTGACCCAGTTACTCTCATTGTTAGTATCTTACATTTCTGATTTATTTTTGTCAAACTAAGAAAATTTTATTGGTGTATTACTAAAAATGGTAGCTGAATTGCTTTTAAATTTTATTTTGAAATTTTTGTTGATATTATATAAAAATAAAATTGATTTTTGTATATTAAAACTTGTGTTCAGTGCTAAATGCATTTATTAGTTCTGGTAGTTTATGGTTTTCTTTGAATTTTCTACATACACAGTCATGAAACTGTTGACCAATGATATTTTTACTCCTTTATTTACAATCATTATGTTTTTTATTTCTTTATTCTGCCTTATAACACTAACTAGGAACTCCAGGCCAGGTGTGTTGCTCACGTCTGTAATCCCAGCACTTCAGGAGGCCAAGGTGGGCAGATCAGTTGAGGTCACGAGTTCGAGACCAGCCTCGCCAACATGGAGAAACCCGGTCTCTACTTAAGATACAAAAATTAGCTGGGTGCGGTGGCGTGCTCCTGTAATCCCACCCATTCAAGAGGATGAGGCAAGAGAATCACTTAACCTGGGAGGCGGATGTTGCAGTCAACCAAGATCCTGACACTGCACTACAGCCTGGGCAACAGAGTGAAGCTCTGTTTCAAAAATAGAAAAAAAAAAAAGAAGAAAGAAAGGAAAGAAAATCCTACTAGGAACTCCAGCACAGCAGACATCATGTCAGTAGGTATCTCTGCCTTGTTAGCAACCTTAGGTAGAAAATGTTCCTTTATTCTGTTTATGTGGTAAATTAGGTTGCCTGATTTTCAAATGTTAAATTAGACTTGCATTTCTGGAATAAACCCTACTTGGTCTTCTACAGAAATTTTAACACTTGTACTCTTTAATCGATCCTCTCTTGTGGGACCTTTGTTATTTTAAGGATTCTGGTATTTTATTTTATTTCTTTTTTTTTTTTTTTTTAGATGGAGTTTCGCTCTTTTGCCCAGGCTGGAGTGCAGTGGTGCAATCTCCGCCTTCCGGTTTCAAGTGATTCTCCTGCCTCAGTCTCCCGAGTAGCTGGGATTACAGGCGTGCACCACCACGCCTGGCTAATTTTTGTATTGTTAGTACAGACAGGGTTTCACCATGTTGACCAAGCTGGTCTCAATCTCCTGACCTTGTGATCCTCCCGCTGCGCCCTCCCAAATTGTTGAGATTACAGGAGTGAGCCACCGCACCCAGCTGTATTCTGGTATTTTTAAGTAGGATTGTAGTAATTATCCCTGCAGCTAAATCATTACATACTTTCATAATAATTTCTACATGAGCAATCCCTAAAAATGGAACTGCTGGGACAAGGCTTTCAATATTTGTTATAAAATTTTCCCCTAGAAATTTTGAATAAACATATCCTCTATTTCTACCAAAAGCACCTCCTCTACAGATGCTCCTCTGCTTATCATAAAGTTATGTCCCAATAAACCCATGTTACAGTTGAAAAATTGTAAGTTGAACCATTTTAAGTTGGGGACTCTTTTATAGCATTAATATATATAGTAATCAACTCTGGATGCTATCATGGTTTAAATTGCCAATTTTATAAGCAAAGATGTATCATTTTAATTTATATTCATTTATTCATTAATGAAGTTAAACTTTTTTGCAAATAGTTCTTGGGCATTTCTCTTTTTTTAGTGTAAAATGCTTATTCATACCCTTTGTCTATTTTGCCAATTAGAGTGTTAAATTTTCTCTTAATGATTTGTAAAAAAAGGTTATATTTATCTTAAGCTTTTGTATCAACTACATGATATGATAATAATAGAGTTATTAGGAACAAGTTAGAATACAGATTAGAATCTCAGAGATTAAGGCACTGACCTTAAGTGGTAAATTAAGGATGATGCCAGATTTTAAAGGATGGTGAACACTGTCTTCTGTAGAAAATAGAAAGGCTTTAATAGGGAGATACATGATCTAATTTACATTGTAGAGCAGAGGTCAGCAAACTATGGCCTTTGGGCCACATCTGGTGCATTGACATTTTTGTAAATAAACTTCTATTGGAATATATCTACAACCATTCATTTATGTATTGCCTATGAAAACTAACATGTGAAGGGGGCACTAGCTTGATCTGCCACATTATATTTCTTTTTTAAAAAGCTGCCAGTAGAAGGCACTGAGAGAAAGGTGTAAATTGTCAGGAGAAAAATTAAGAAAAGACAGGTCCTGGACATCAGGAAAGGGAGAAGGTATGTTCTCAAAAGAAGAGCATAGAACACACTATCCAACTTTGCAGACAAGTCAAGTAAAATAATGATTAAGAAGCTGTCTATTATCAGTCAGAAACCTTTAAGACAGTTTCAGCAGAATAATGGGGGTGGGAGCCAGATGGTGGGGGGTGGAGAGGAGATACTTGGCACTGAAGGAGTGGAGGCAGCAAATGGCTCGTTCAAAAAGGCTGGCAATGAAGAAGGAAAGAGAAGAGAAAGATATACAGTAGTTTAAATGAGAAATATTTAATTTATGTGATGCTTCAATTTCAGGCCAGGTAGGTACTCAAATAACTCATCTTTTTTTTCCTTTGCAAAACTTCAAGTTCTCATAGCAGCAAAATAAATATATTTTTTCATTAAGGGATTATCTCCCTATCTCATGTTAATATGACACAAAAATAACATTAAGAGCTTGGTTCATATCACATAACATTAACAGTAGTCTTGCAAAAGTTGAGAAAACCCAAGTCATGAGACGTAGGGATTTTCTAGGTGTACTGCTCACCCAGATGTAGCCCCACAAAGTGGTATGTATCTTGATGCAGCCAACCAGTCCAGGATCTGTCCTTTTAGCCTTTCAGACTTAGAAACTTAATTTCATCAATGTGAACATATTTAGCATATTCGGGAAGGTGATTCATACTAACAAAGCTCATCAGGGTCTGATATTTAAGCCATTTTATTTATTTACAATAAGGAGTTTGATTGCCAAGCAGTCTAGACATAGTGAGCCCTGACCAGTGAGCCCAATTATCCCTAGGGTATTTGGGAAGCAAGGAAGCAGGATAAGGAGTTACTTATTGGAATGTGTAATGACATCTGGCTTTGATGTGACAGTCTTTGAAATAGTTATATTCCTGTCGAGTGGATTCTTGAATCGGCCTAACAGAGCATTCTCTCTTCAGGTGAAGGCATGCTCTTACAAATTTGCTTCTTCTGCACCTTTATTTCTAAATTTCCTTTTGAAGTACATATCCATACCTTACCACTGTTAATACCTTTCTGCCTAGGAACAGACACATCTCTTTAAAATGTTCTGCTTTTCTCTGCACTGAATGCATTACGGATGTTATTGCTTAGCTTTCAAGGTTCTTTGAGAACATCTACGATCACTCCATATAGATGACAACATTTCATTTGTAATGATGACTTTTACCATTTCTGAGGACAACTATAATTTCATTGTTTATTCTACTTTTCTTCAGGTAAACTTATTTCTTTGCCTATATTTTTTAAAAGACATATTACTACCATCAATTGCCAACCCAGTTTATTTGACAAAAGTAAAAAAACCAAAAAGATAGGCACAATAAGGATGTTATATTCTTTATATTCTTTAATATACTTAAAAATAATATTCTTTAATAATTCATTTGTTTCACTACTACCTCTACACTGATATGCCATCATTTATTATCACAACTGCCCAAACATGATATTATTTTGTATTTTTTCATGCAAAGTCTGTTACAGTTCTGCAGTCCTATCCTGTTGCTGATGATTGCAAAAGTATTACCTTGTAATAACATCAGCACTGCTCTGACTTATCAAATCCTGATGTGACTGTCAGCTCAACCTTTAAAAGAAACTTAAAGAAAATATGAGTTGTTTATATGAAATGTTCCTTAGGATAGTATCATTTAAATGAGACCAACTTCCATGGAAATTATCTAGTATGTCTTTCACAAAATTCTATAAAAGGGCTCTGATGGTGCACTTAAAAGGCTATCATTAAACCATTTATTGCTGTGTAGGTGCTGATTTTAAAACTTTTTCTCAGACATAAAAGATATAGTTCTTTTGGACCTACAACATATTGTTATTTTGCACAATTCATTCTATTCAATTTGTATAATACTCTTAAGACATTGTAAATGTCTGAAAGTAACTATGAGGAAGAAAAAATAAAGAATTATGGGATTTGTTGAAAAAGGGACAAAGGGTATATTTTCAGAGGCTATTTGAGAATATATAGGGGAGCTGATTAAGTACAGACAATCCTGGAGGAAAGCCTAAGAAAAGTTTCTCTATCCTTTTAGTTAGCAGTGATTGTGGATAATGCTCTTTGTCCAGAAAGTTTGTGAGCAGAGCTTCCAGAAAGTAAATATTGTATTCTCAACCATAAGATTTTTAGGACTTTTCACTAAAAGATAGCAATTGTACCTGTCATATAGCATTAAATCTTTATTTCCAAACTTAGGTTTAGGATGATATAGAAAACCTCAACCAAATTTTAAATAAAATAATAAACATCTTAGTAATAGTTTAGGTACCATAAATATTATATATAGGAAATACAACTAAACTGATGAGCTACATACACATCTTAATCTCAGAGCTTTTTTGCATTAGTTTCAAACACATCTTAGAAAATAGTAGATATTTGTTGGCTGTTACCTCAGCATCCATTTCCATTTTTTTTTTCCAACCAAAACAAACCTGATTTCCTTAGGAGTACTTACCCAACCTCAGTATAAAGTGACCATATGGATGGAGTAGACAGACCTCATCCCCAGGTTGAGTCCTGTAGAGCGTCTTGCACTTGACCACAGTGACTGATCCAGAAATGGAGATGTATCACATTTTGGCCAATAAAACTTTACAGATGTGCTAAGGACTCCTACAAGCGAAGTTTTCTTGCTGCTGTGGGAGTTCCAGGAACTTTCCATGAATAGTGTGAGAAGAATGTGAAGTTCCTTAATGCTGCCACGAGGGGATCTAGTATGAAAACTAGTCCAGCATCTGCAGGAAGACAGAGCTACAAGAATCAGAATGGACTCAGTGTCCAGATGGCAACACAAACTGATGAATTAAGTCTCCCTTTTATAAAGCCTAAAATTAGAGCGGTGTGTACACAATTCAATTACATGAACTCATACTCTCCAAGTTTTTTCTTTCATAATCCACTTTGGTTCAGGTTTTTTGTCACTTCCAAAAGCCTCCCAGCCAATGTAGGAAGGTAATTTGGAACACTGGAGGAAGTATTGTGGTCAGGAGGTCTGAGTTCTGGTTTAGTTTTGCCATTATTTGTGTGGTCTTAGGCAAGTTCTTTATAACCACACCCTTTAACCACTGTATCCTTTTTACAAGAATATTCATTCTAGATGATTTCTATTAATACAACATAGAACAAATTGGCTAGATGTCCACCAATTCCACACATCTTTCTGAGTGTACAGGTGGACTGTATTTATTGGCCTCTCATTAGTTCAGTTGGGGAATTGTGATTCAGTACTAAAAGATGGGATGTAGACCAAAGTGACGAAAACCACACCAAGGCCTTTTACTTCATATGATTCCAAAATCCTCTCTTCCTTCTGTTCAATGACTATGGAGGCCAAATACTGAGGATCGCAGAATCAGGGATCTCTGATTTTTACTAGGATTCAATAACCTCTTCCTCCAAGTTTTCAACCTAACTTTCACAAAATATTTATAAAACATTCTGAAAACTTTCCAGTGTATTTCTGTTCTTCCAGGAAAACTTCTCCTGGATAAAATATTTGTTAATTGCACTCATGAAACTGCCTCAGAATTACTTCACTAATAAACTTAAACAGAAATTATGTATGATATACAACCTTCACCCAAATTTAAACCTCATTTACAAAATGAAAAAAAAAATCTTAGTGTAGAGTTAAACCCAAATTTGTTGTTATACAACATTTATTTCTTATTCACCTGGAGCCCAATGTGGGTAGAGTAGCTCTCCTAGAATTTTGAACAAATGGCGTAGACTAGGGAGTTATGATTCAGGATGAAATAATCGAGGCATCCTGTGCATGGACTTGAACCTGCCCCTCAGCAGATGAGAATCCACTGCAGAGCCTTGAGTGGAGGGTATGGCATATTAGGGGAGCCAGTCAAGAAGTGAAATGACCAAGAGACATCAATAAACTCTCTAAATCAATATTGGCAAGTTATTCCACTATCTCAGGCAGGAGGAGACATTAATTGATTCAACTGATTTTTAAACCAATCTAGAAATTTTGTATCAGCCTTCTAAATTGGATTTGTCTCTCCTAATTAGTCCCAGAGAGACCTTTGTCCATCACTCTACTTATTGGATACAAGGAATAATTCACTAATGCTAAAACAGGATCCTTCCAATTCTCATTTTCATCTAAGATTTTGTGCCCATTGAACGTTGAGCCAATTGTGCATAACTCCATTTCCTTGCCTGCCAACCCAAACTCAATACAGGGAGAACCACCTCAGCTAATTCTATTCATTTTAGAAAAGATATCATTACAACCTAAACTCCTCAAAAGCAGGAACAGTATCTTATTTAGCTTCAGAGAGCCAATGACTGTCTCAGTATCTGGCACTTTGCTCCACCGTTTGTAGAATTGACAATGGTCAGGAAATAAGGCTCTCTGTCTAGTAGTGACCTCTGGATACCCAATTATCTTGGGAACTGAAAGGGGCAAGAGACACCACCCACAGAGAAACTGAAAAGTTTCTGTGCAAAGAGAGATACTGTTCCCAGCAGTATCTGTGTGGCAATACATACCACTGCATATTTTCTTTCTGCTTTCCTATGGTGGTTAATGTTATATACATACAAACAGACATGTATACACACACACACATTCCATGAAAAAGGTAAAAGTCTTAAGAAAATGTGTCTTACTCGTTTCTAATATTCTCTGTGAAAATAATTGTTCTTTTTTTTTTAACATGTCAAACTTTCATTAAAGATTTCTGAATGAGTGAGTAGAAAAGGTTAAAGCCCAGTGCAACATCTAACGTTAGTGAGGTTTTCTGTGTAAGTTTCTTTGGAGAGGCATGCTGGGGGAGGAAAATTTAAGGTAAAGTTGTGTCGACTGCTGCAAATAGACTGGTAATGTCTAATGTGTTTATAGTCATCTATTTGTATGGAATGAAAAGAGACTACAAAGAAGATCTTTTTCTTCACTCAGGGTCTTCTGGTCTTCCGTCTAAACTCTGGGGAAGGCAAAGAAGGGCCAGCTACAACAGAAGCAAGAAGAGCTATTTTCACAAAGATTCTCTGAGATAAGAAATGAAAACACACTTTTAATTAATTTATTTACTTTGGAGACAGGGATTCACTCTCGCCCAGGCTAGAGTGCAATAGTGTGATCACAGCTCACTATAGCCTCGAATTTCTGCACTCAAGTGATCTCTCATCTCAGTCTACCAAGTAGCTGAGATCACAGGCTCACAGCACGATGCTCTGTGGAAACATACTTTTTAATTTTTTTTTTTTTTTTTTTTTTTTTTTTTTTTTTTTTTTTACCAAATTGGTAAGAGTGAAATTCCATAAACACCAGGCCCTTGCAAGTTCACCAGCCCATGCCCAATTACTCCGGGGAAAAGGCCTGGGTAGCTTATACCTTCATCTCCATGACTAACTAACATCTCCACACTGCGAGTTTGGCTCAGGCTTCTTGAAAGCCACAACTAGATCACTGTGGTGTTGGGAAGGAAGGTGAGATCAAATTTGTCAAATGTTTGCTTGAAGAGCCCAATATGCTTGCAGGATGTTCAGGTTTATTTGGTGGTGACCACCTATGCCAGTCCACAGAGAGAGGTTGTTATTGCTGGAGGACAGGTGAGAATGGCATCTCACATTCACCTAACAGCGCTCTCACCTTGGCTTGCTTTGAACCAGTAAGCAAGCAAGGCAAATGATATACATGAGATTAGAATATAGATTCGTGGCTGCAACAAGCGGGAGGTTCTCTCAGAGTCTGGGGATCTCAACCTCCCAGAGGAATGAATCAGTAGGTCAGAGCAGCTCTGAAATGTGGGCTCACTCTACTCTTTACATTTCCAGCTTGATGAGGTTAAGTGGCAACCCACAGTCAACAGTCGGTCCTAACACCATGAAATAAATGTTAGCTGTGCCACAATCAGATAACTAAGTTACTTCTTTGTATCATTTCTTGCTACATAAGTGGCCCAAGTTGAAGTCTGGTGCAGCAGACAGTCTATGGTCTACTAAAGACAGGAATTTTGTTTTTGAGTAAACAATCCACTTTAGACCAACTTTGGTGGTAGGAAAGACTACCCACTCAGGAATATTTAGGGAGGCTTGTGCAGATGTGTGAAGATGGGGAGAAACCCTACCCTGTCCTTTGCTTCACATAAAAGAGAATCAGGTGAAGTCAAATGATGACAAGGACTGGGGCTAGACTCCTGCTCCTAACTCAAGATAGAGACCTTTTTAAAGGAAGAGTACTTTTGATCTCTATCTTAGTTTGAGTTCTCCCAAAAGCAGATCCTGGGGCAAGAATTTAAGTGCAAGTAGATTATTTAGGGAAAACCAGTAAGGGAGTGGAGAAGGGTTATAAGGAAAGGAAGTGAGTCAATAAAATGTGCACAGTTAAGCCACTACTGTTGAATGAGCAGAGATACAGCACCTGGATTATCCCACCTTGTTGATGAAGAGGCTGTTATTTATAAACTCAGTCACTGACTGAAGACTGCTCCCTGAGGGAGTGTTAATTCCCCAGAATTCCTAGCCTGCCACACATGGAGAGGGGTGCAGAAAACGCCTTCAAACGCGGAGATGCACATATCAAAAACTGAAAGTACACTGGAGCACAGTGAAGTCATTTTGAGAGAAATGGGAAATGGATATTATTATATACTAATATACCTATACGAGACATAAAACTTGCCTAGGTAAGGAGTAGTCAGGGCTTTGCACCAGCAGCATCCCCGGAAAGAATGTGCAGTGATTTTTCAGGGCTCATGGTAGACTGACTCTCCAACAGCACTCACAGGATGCAGGGTAACATATTTATTTAAATAGAAAAATAAAGTCAGCTAATGGGTTTGATAAGGATATGGGCTCTACCATAAATATGACTTAAATTTGCAGCTACAATTTTAATGAAAATATATTTAAAGCACATAAACAAAACACTATGTGCTAGAAGTTCCATTCTTTGCAATTAATAAATTTAGTATATAAAAATTTAGCATTTTAAAGTAAACATGCATAAAAGGGTCTTGGTTTAATTTTTTTTAGTTAAAATTTAGAAGCCATATGAGCAAAAATAGCTCATAATTGTCTTACAATTATGTGAGCTACTCAATATCCTTTTAAAAAGCAGAATAATATGCAGAGGTTAGGTAGCTGGGTGGCAGGTCCCAAATGCACAGCAAAGCTGGGTCAGCCAGGACCCTTTGAACACCACTGTCAAACAATCAAACTGAAGCTTCTGACCCAATACACAGTGGCACTGCTCACTGTGCCCTGGATGTCACCACAGGCATCAATGTCATGCTCCTTTATGAATTTGCTCTTGCTACAACTGGTATGACCATCAGAGTCGTTTCTCTACAGGATTTGCTGCTTTGCAGCACCCGCCCTCAATTCAATATCTGTGGTAGTCATAAGCAGAGCCTAGGCCTCTTTCACTGCAAGAAACATCAGAAAAAAGTGGCTGATATATTGAGCTCCATCACCAAAACTTGTAAAATAGGGAACTCTCAAGAAATAAAAAGACAGTACGGAGGTTAAGCAGCCAAAAAGCAATGACTAATGTCCCCAACAAACAGCTGTCTTTAATAAGAATTATCTTTTTGTTTTCAAAAAATCTCTCTGCTGAGATTTTGTTTCAATTCACTGCATTATTTTGACAAGTTGGTGATTTTCAATTTAGTTTCTGGTGCATATGTTAAAATGCAGATCATTATTTTTGATCATGCCACATGCATGAAAAATTCCATTATGTGAGTAATTATCACATGGGGTAAAGACTTGGAAAAGTTCCTGCATATTCTTTTTGTTGTTATTTTTCATTTCTTTTCCTGCATATTCTTGACAGAAATTCTAAAAACAATAGGTAGTAGGGTAGGTAGGGAGGAAACAATACAGACTTTCTCTGAAGTCCTCTGAGGTTTTGTTATGTCTGTTTATTCTCAGTGCAAGAGGTCAAGTTCAGAAAAATGGAAGAATCATATCTCAAAGCTAGTCAAAAATGGGCATTATGAGAATACATGAGGCCGGTCAGAATGATGAATTGGTAATATAAAAGCTCTGGAAATCTCATTTGTTGACATTAGAAAACAGCGGTCTGCAAACTTTCTGTAAAGAGCCCGATAATAAATATTTTAGGTCTTGTGGGCGTCTGTTGCAATTACTCAACTCTGCTGTTGTAGCCTCAAAGCAGCCATAGATGATATACAAATTAATGATTGTGGTTGTGTGCCAATAACATTTACTAACAGAATGATTTCCCCAAGGTTTGTAGTTTGCCAACCCCTGTTAGAGAAAATAGTAATGATACAGATACTTAATATTGAAGAAATGGAAAAAATGCCACAGAGGCAGAAAAGTGTTGAATCTGTCTCTTCCTCTTTGTAAAGAGTTAGGCCCAGGAATCTGAGGAAACAGTCACAACTACTCAAATCTGAATAACCTTAAGTGATCCTCTGTCTATATATGTTGGTTATTTCTTGACACTACTGTGAATTTTTCCTGGGCAACAATCTCAATGGCAGTGCAGCACATTGGAGCTTGACTGTCTAGGTTTAAAGACTGGCTCTGTTAATTACCAACAAAATGAGTTCGGGCAAGAAACAAAACCTAGAGAAAAAAAGAGCAGAAACCACTGGAGTAACAGAGGTGTGGAACACAGTAGGTACTTGACGAAGATGACTTAAGATTTATGTAAAGACTGAACATGTACCACTACTTGTCATGACAGTGGAGCATCCACTTTATAAGAATGACAGTATAATGAGAAAAACACACAAATATATTAAATAATACTTTGAAGAAACTCACCTTTTACTTAATGTCACCACAGAGGAAATTCTGGGTAGAAGTTTAGAATTTACAAAGACTTTGTGCCACAGAAAAAGATGGCCATGAGCAATAGTACTTAAGTTGCTTAGAATGAATAAAAAATGTTCAAAACCTCCTATGTACAGTATAGACACTTTACTTTTATCCAGGAAGACAATAAATTAAGAGGTTGCATATCTGTATCACTTTGTATTCCTTCCATAACAAATCGCCACAAACTTAGTGGCTTAAAACAACAAAACTTTATTAACTTACAGTTCTGTAAGTCTGATATGGGTCTGACTGGACTTAAATCAAGGTGTTAGTAGAATGTATGCCTCCAGAAGGAGGCTGTAGGGAAGAATCCATTTCCTGCTCACTTAGATTTTGGCAGAATTCAGTTTCTTGCTGTTGTAGGACCAAGGTCCCTGTTTTCTTGCTGGCTATAAACTAAGAGCTGTTCTCAGCTTCTAAAGATAACCACATTTCTTGGCTCATGGCCCTCTTCCTCCAACTTCAAAGCCCATCAACAGCAGGACAAGTCTTTTCATGTCACATCTCTCAGACCCACTCTTCTGATTCCCTCTTCCGCATTTAAGGACTCATGATTAGAGGGGGCCAGCTGAGTAATCCAGAATAACCTCACCATCTCGAGGTCCTTACCTTCAATCACATTTGAAAAGTGCTGTTTGACATGTAAAGTAACAATCACAGTTCCCAGGGATTAGGATGTGGACATCTTTGGGGGTTGGGGGGGTAGGAGAGATTATTCTACCTTCCACAATATCTTAGTTGCCTTTCCTATTCTTCCCATTGGTAGTGACATCTGAAAAATGTCAACCTGCCTTTGAGTATTTGGACTCAAAGGTATACATATTCCTTCTGATTTCCGAAAAAGTCTACATACAATAGCAATGACGTATCCATGGATATGCGCTGATCATATGTACATATAAACTCAAAATTTTGTCCTTCAAGTAGAACAGTTACTTTTATTATTAACTATTGTAAGAAGCACTGAACTAGAATCCAGGAGGCCTTGATTGTAGGTTCTACTATGTAACCCTAAAAGAGTCAATGAACTTATTTGGGATTCAGTTTCCTAATCCACATGACACAGAATGTAAATTTGAAAATTCTTAGGTTCCCTTTTAGCTCTAAATATCTGTGATCCATAGTCTGAAAGAAAAAGGGTGGAAGTGGGAGAGTCATTCTGATTTGTTACAAAAATGAAACAAAACTTATATAATGAGAATTTATCAAAAATAAGGGAAAGCCTTGATTTTTTTCTGCCCCATATGTTTTTAATTTAAAATTTTTTTTTAATATTTAGGGGGTACAAGTGCAGCTTTCTTACATGCATATATGAAATCTGGGCTTTTAGTGCACCCATCACCTGAGTAGTGAGCATTGTACCCAATAAGTAATTTTCAACCCTTATTTGCTCCCCATGTGTTTTAATGTAATTTCAGGCATTTGCTTTCTATTGGTCACTCAAGGTTATTTATGTTTAGCTTTTGTCAATGTAATTCTTATACTTCACTCTCACTATTCCATTTACATTTCTATATACCTTCTTACATTATTCATCTCTCATTGCCTAACCTCAGTATTTTTCTCCAAAAAAAAAAAATCAATAAATTAGCATTGCTCTACCTTGCCATACAATGTCTGCAACAAGTCCAAATCAATCTGTTCCTTCTGTGTGGATTATAACATTAAGGAATGAATTCAGACTGAAGATCCTAGTGACCTAAGTAATTTCTGATATCAATATTATTTTCCAATTTTGGCATGCAAAAAATTCAATGGAAATGACAGTATAATTTTACCTGTATTGCAATCCAAGCTGCTAAAGACAATTTTTAAAAGCCAAGCAAAACAATAAAAAAGAAAGCAAATGTACTCAGCTTAAAATAAAGTTCCCTAATCTGGTTCACTATAGTGATAACACATACATGGTAATTTATTTTTTAAAAAAAGATATTGAAAAATGATCAGGTATGGGTGCTCCATTTGGATTAGTCATATGCTGTATGTGCTATTTAAATAAAGCTGCCCAAGTTATACGAATTCAAGTACCCTTCTAGGGCAAAGTCAGAGGTGGAAGAACTGCCTACCTAAAGAATTACTTGGTGCTAAAGGACAGTATGAACCACAGAAGGAGATAAGTAAAACAGGGGCAGGATGACATTATTTAAACTCCAGATTCTCAGTGGAATACTAACATAGTCTGTTATGTTACAGTATTGTCTTTTTTATTTTTTATTTTTGAGACAGGGTCTAGCTCTATCACCCAGGCTGGAGTGCAGTGAGAAGATCTTGGCTTACTGCAATCTTTGCCTCCTGGTCTCAAGGAATCCTCCCACTTCAGCCTCCTGAGTAGCTGGGACTACAGGTGCGCATCATCACGCCTGGCTAATTTTTTGTAGTGACAGGATTTCACCACATTGCCCAGGCTGGTCTGGAACTCCTGAGCTCAAGTAATCTGCCTGCCTTGGCCTTCCAAAGTGCTGGGGTTAAAGGCATGAGCCACTACACCCAGCCGAGTACTGTTTTTTATAGTACACATGAGGTCACATGAGATTGTTAAACAGGAGAGTAATGTTAGAATAATAGGGAAAGTGGGTTGGTTCATACATAATTTTTCATAGCACTTTAATGCTTTGTAGTACAAAGACACAATAGCTGAAGTACAATTATTGCACTTAGTTTTGTGATTGAACCAGGCCTGGGGGAGTATAGCACTCAAATGATGACCTTTCACGGTGTGGGACCCCATTCTTCCCTGGGCTTGGTTCAGCCATATGCTCCATTTTGATAGTGCTTATTTTGCAGCTCCCTCACATCTTTGGGCAAAAGCGACATCAGACAACGAGTCAGAGCCATCCATCTCTGGCAACTCCACATTTCCTGCAAAGTTTGCAACTGCTTCTCCATCTGCTACTTCTGATGATCTCCCGCCCTTGTTTCCATCACTCATCAGTGTCTACCCTTCTGTAAACTGTCATTCTTTAAGCAACCTTCAACTTTTTTAAAAAGGTAAAACTCTTTAAGTTAATATAACATTGCTTTATTTGTTAGGAGTTTTACACGTCCTTCTAAATGAACTACTATTTTCATTTCGGTTGTTATTGTCTGTTAATACTACAGTTCAGTGGTTGCCAGACTTTGTTGTTTATTAGTTAACTACGGATGTTTTAGAATACTGAGGCCCAGCTGAACCTCATTCTATTTAACTCAGAATGTCTTGAGTGTGGGAGCCAGCTATCAGTTTTTAAAGATCATATCAGTAAGTAGCAAAGTTTGGGAACCACCGCTCAGTTGTTCAGAGTTTGAGAGGGCTTTCCCAGACTTATTTTTTCCTTAGGCTCTTATTTTAAGTGAGCCATTTTCTTAAAATGTGAAGATTTTCAGGAATGTATTATACACAGCATATTATAGCCAGAATGTTTTGTCATTTTTTGGCTTCTGCTGTGGTCTGGATACTGGTGTCCTCCAAAATTCATATGTTGGAACCTAATATCCAATATGATAGCATTAAGAGATGGGGTCTTTTGGGAAGTAAGTCATAAGGACTCTGCCCTCATGAACAGGATTAGTGCCCTTACTGAAGAGGTTGAACGGAGCAGCCTTGCCCCCTTCTGCCATGTGAGGATGCAGCAAGAAAGTGTCATCTATAAGGAACAGGCCCTCATCAGACACAGAGTCTACTGTTGCTTTGATCTTGGATTTCTCAGCCTCCAGAACTGTAAAAAATAAATTTTTGTTGTTTATAAATTACCAAGTCTAATGTATTTTGTTATAGCAGCCCAGTTTCCAAAATAAAAATAATGTAAAGGGAGAGCAGGATTTGGGGAGTAAAAAATGGCTGGTAAAAAAAAAAAAATTTTTTTTCTTTTTTTTTTTTTGAGACCAGTCTCAGTCTGTCGCCCAGACTGGAGTGCAGTAGCATGATCACGGCTCACTGGGCTTAAGTGATCCTCCCACTGCAGACTTCCAAGTAGCTGTGAATACAGGTGTGGGCCACCATGCACAGCTAATTTTTGTATTTTTAGTAGAGATGGGTTTTTCCCCATGTTTCCCAGGTTGGTCTTAACCTCCTGGGCTCAAGCAATCTGCCCACCTTGGCCTCCCAAAGTGCTGGGAATACAGGTGTGAGCCACTGCACCTGGTCTAAAAATTTTAATAATAAAAATCAATTTTAAAAATACCATAAAGAATGCATAAAAGCATACGTAAGTATTTTATTAATATATATTGCCCCTTATGAGGTGAAACAGAGGGCCTCCTGAGATATACCGGTTCTCCAGATCTTTAAGGTAAAGTATATGCCCGTGTAAGTATCACCAGTATGTTCCGTGGCCTTGCCATTGGCTAGTGAGCAAAGTGTATCATGTTTACACAGTTCTACAGATTGGCCCCATCTACTTTGTTAACAAGCAGTCTTGCCTTTTCCTGTGTCTCCCTAATCTTGCTAACCTCTGATTCACCAACCACCATTACTATGCCACCTAGGATTTGCTGTCTGCCTCATTTCTTTTCTTTTCCATTTTTAGATAGGGTTTCACTCTATTGCTCAAGCTGGAGGGCAGTAGCTCCAACATGGCTCTCTGCAGCCTCAACCTCCCTGGCTCAAGCTATCCTCCTGCCTCAGCCTCCCAAGTAGCTGGCACTACATGTGCATGACACCATGCTCAGCTAATTTTTTTTTTTTTTGGTGGAGATGGGGTTTTGCCATTTTGCCCAGGCTAGCCTCAAACTCCTGGACTCAAGCAATCTTCCTACCTCAGGCTCCCATAGTGCTGAAATTACACGTGAGCCACTGGGTCTGGCCTCATCACCTTTCTTAAGCTCTGTCTTCAAATCACTTTTTTTCTGCCTCTCCATTCTTTTATTACTTATTAACCTCTGTGAGCACAGAATATGCCTCTCCATTCTTACTGCTACAAATCAGAAACGCATATCTGAACTCCTGCTGGCCTTTTTATCTTCAGTTTTTACCTCCGCTAAATATTAATGTCAGGACCAAGCGTGATGATTCACGCCTGTAATCCCAGCACTTTGGGAGGCCGACGTGGGCGGATCACCTGAGGTTGGGATTTTGAGACCAGCCTGGCCAACATGGTGAAACCCCGTCTCTACTAAAAATACAAAAATTAGCCAAACGTGGTGGTGCATGTCTGTAATCCCAGCTACTCGGGAGTCTGAGGCAGGAGAATCGCTTGAACCCGGGAGGCAGAGGTTGCAGTGAGCCTAGATCGCACCACTGCACTCCAGCCTGGGTAACAAAACGAGACTCCATCTCAAAAAAAAAAAAAAAAAATTAATGTCAGGTCATTTTCCTAAAGTGTATTTGCACTTCTTCTCAAGCACTGATTTAAGTCTTACCTGTTTTGTAAAACCTCCCAAGATTTGAACTCATATCCATCTTTCCCTTCCTTAAGCACTTAAAATGTGCACAGCTGAATCTATCCAATCATAAAAAATGGCCATGAACAAAACACCGTATTGGAATAAGCTTTGGGACTTTAAAAAAAAAAAAAAGGTTATTTATGGTATAGTCTATGTCCTTGAATAACAATGAGTACTCATTATATATCAGGCTCTTCAAGTATTACTTTTAGTTCCTCAACAATTAGATGTAGTTTTGTGTAGTTTTCCTCATTTTACAGATGGGGAAACAGGCACAGAAGGTTAAGTATGCTCAAAGTCAAACAAATAAAAATTCAGGCAGTTCATGAGTCAGTGTTCTTAATAATGATCCTAAACTGCTTCTCAATTAACAAATCACTTATATTTGATCTTTTCCATCCCTTAAGTAATGGAGTTAAATCTACCTGTCTTTATTACCCTAAATGAAAAAAGTAAGTAAAGCACTTTGTAATTTATAGTGTTAAATGAAGACTATCAATTACCTTTATTTGTAATTTGGAATATTCATTTTTTTCATGCAATAATTATTTCATTTTTATAAGTAAAGGTCTGTAACTATTCAGGAATTTCCTTGTAAGTAGAGACGCATGATCTACTTATGTCCTTTTCTGCCTAGGAGAACTCTAGTTAGATCTATTCAATATATATTACTGATTGGTTAACACCTTTGCAACTTGTAGGGAAGTAAAGCATAAACGCGTAAAAGGAAATAAAAGTTCTCATCACATAAGGTTAAAAATATTATTTTATTTTAAAAAACTGCTATTGTGATAGTTTTCCATAAACTATTCAGAGAAGCGCAAATTCAGTTTCCTAGGATTCTACTAGAAGTCTGATCCTTTAGGTTAAGGTTTTCTGCTCAAGATTTAGATTCAGAAGTAATGGAATAAAATTATCTATTACAAGCATACTTTGGTTGATACTTTATCAGTGATATAATGTCATTTAAATGAGCATTACTTTGAGAGGTTTCGACTTAAGGGGCAAGTTTCACTGTTAACTCTTAATTTTTTAGTAGTCAGATGTTTATGTGTATCAGTTTTCCCTTATTGGAGCTTTAATGTAATTCTTCTTTATGAGATGCTAAGGTTTCTACATTCATGTACTCCCAAGGGTACATGGCTAATATAGATAAATCACATATGTAATGTTTGCATCCAGATGTAATTCATTTTGTCTTAGTAAACCGACTTTTATTTATCCATAGGTTTTCTCGCTACATCTGTGATCCTTACAGACTACAGAAAATATAGCGATTTTAAGACACATGTAAAAAAGTTTCCAGCCAAAGAGATTTTGTGATGCTCCATAAACACTGTTCATCTGTTATTTATCTGGCATATTAATTTAATGACAACTACACAGGGCAATAGACTTACAAAAGCACACTCTAAGGGATGAAAAGCCATAGGGAGTATTCATTTTTTTTTTTTTTTTTTGAGATGGAGTATCGCTCTGTCGCCCAGGCTGGAATGCAGTGGCACAATCTTCGCTCACCGCAAACTTCACCTCCCAGGTTCTAGTGGTTCTCCTGCCTCTGCCTCCCTGGTATATGGGACTACAGGTGCCCGCCACCATGCTGGCTAATCTTTGTATTTTAGTAGAGAGGGGGTTTCACCACGTTGGCCAGGATGGTGTTGATCTCTTGACCTTGTGATCCACCCGCTTTGGCCTCCCAAAGTGCTGGGATTACAGATGTTAGCAACTGCACCCGGCCTCATTTTTATAAGATCACACAGAGGTTTTTTTGTTTGTTTGTTTTTGAAATGGAGTTTCGCTTTTGTCGCCCAGGCTGGAGTGGAATGGCGTGATCTCAGCTCACTGTAACCTCCGCCTCCCGGGTTGAAGCAATTCTCCTGCCTCACCCTCCAGAGTAGCTGGGGTTACAGGAACCCACCAACATGCCCAGCAATTTCTTTTTTTAACAAAACTCCTAACACCTCGTTAATCATTAATTAGTCTTTGGGTTTTGGTTCAACACCTAACATTTGCAAATCACACAATTATCTTTGTTCTTTCATTAGCGGAAGACACTTTCATTTGTTACCCTGAGAATATGAGACATTCACAATCTAATTCCTGACTACATTTGATTTCAAACAGATAGGAATAAGTTCCAGAATATAAAATATTAACTATTTGGGAGTATCTTGTGGGTATGCTCTAATTAAGAAATGCTTCCTTTTCCGAGGAAAACTGCTGACATTGCAAGAGTTATTACAAAGCCACAAATCTTAAGAAAATACATGTTTAACTGAAATTATAAAGATATTTTGCAAAAAAGGGAAATCGCTCCTGCTGGTGTTTTGTGTATAAATCTCTTTCTAACTTCAAGCTCTCTCAAGTTAGGGCAACAGTAAATGAAGTGGGAACAGTATCGCATTGGGAAATATCTGAAATGATACCTATGGGACTATCTAACGAAACTGAGGCCCAGAAGAATTGAAGTGACCTGTGCAATGACACCAATTTGTTAGCAGAGCCAAGATTAGAACCAAGTTTGGTGCCTTCCTGCATCCTTCCTGCATCGGTCCTTTCTCGGTGCTGCAGCAGCCTTTTACTTACTAATTTCACCCTGAAGAAAGGTAGACCATCCTGGCGTGGCAGAAGCGTGGACATTCGTTTTCTAAGGGATGGTCACACACCTTTGCCTATTTGCATTTAGTTTCTTTAAAAAGTAAAAACACCTCCATTTTGGAACACTTTTAGAGACAAAAGCAGAACATACGAAAGTGTATTTCACTGCTGAGTTCTTAAGAGGCGTACACCGTGTGGTTATAACGTGCGCAACTCTGTCCCGGGCAACTGAACTTATTTTTAGCGTTATTTTCGGCTTCTGCTGCAGAAAACTAGGGATTCAACTACCCGCACCTACGTTTCACACAACAGCACTCGTCTCTCTCCTTCACTCCTAATAAAAACACCTTACTTCGTTTATTCCTGCCTGCTCTACCTCGTCTCAACATTTTCTCTTGTTAACTTCCACCACACTGCCTTTTACTCGGATTGGAAACCCACTCTCCCCCAACTTCTGTCTCATACCCCCAACTTCTGTCTCATACCCCCAACTTCAGGAAGCGTCTTCCTTTTTTCCGCCTCTCGTTCGCTTTTGTCTTACGAGGCTTCCGGAACACGGCCCAGAATTACAGAGAAAACACACTGCGCACGCGCACTCTCTCGTCACCGCTGTGCGGCTTCTGTTTGGTTGGCCAGTTCGTCCCAATTTCCGACTCACAGGGCTGCGGAGCAGCAACTCTCACGATATTTGCTGCGACCCGCAGGCGCTATCCGCTGCCGGGTTCTGGCGCGCCCTTTCAGTTCTGCTTGCTGTCGGCACCGCTGCGTTACCCGGAACCGCCGGGCCGAACAGCATGACGTCCGCTTTGGAGAACTACATCAACCGTATCCTCAAGCTGGCCGCCGCGGGCGTGAGCCGGGGTCGCGGAGAGGCCGCGGTCGGGGATCGGTGGGAGGTTGGGAGGCCTGGCCTCGGCGGGATCCTGGGGGCGGGCGAGGAGATGAGGGCCCCGGAACGACCCAGAGTTCGCCGGCGGCGCCTCGAGCCTTCCCGCTGCTGCGGGCCCAGGGGTCCTTTCCATTTTGCCTGCAAAACCCAAATAAAAACCCAGTGTGATTATTCCGAACTTTTCTGTCTTAAAAAAAATGTACGCTCTTGATTCTTACTTACTATTTCCCTATGGCATAAGTGTTAAAGTTTGTGAATAAGATGAACAGTCGTCCTGGCGGCGACAACAGTTTTGCAAATCTTTGTACTTGTTTTATTCACATAATTTGCTCGTTCGAGGATAGCAAAAAGTTTAACGATGGTTCACAGACTGTTTCTGTCCCTTTACCACTTGAAGTCCCAACTTGTTGGTAGAATGAAAAAAAATGGTTGCTGTTGTAATGGATTATAGTGAGGAGCAAGTAACAACCCCATGGGAAGTCTTAAAATAGACTTTACAAGTGTTACCGTTTTAAAGTCTTAGGACAAAAACACTACGTTAAGCTCAGGTACAAACTGGGTGACAAAAATTAAATACCGAATGCTTTTAATGATGCGTTATTGGTACCCTGTGACACTGCTTATATAGTTTCTTTACTTTTGAATTACAGAAGCCTGTCCTGGAAGACAGTTTTTTAACATGCTGGAAAATCGTCCAACATCGATTAATTTAGTACTCATCCACTTTTCATTTTAGAAATAAACAGGCCTAAGAAACGAAATATCCTGCCTGAAATAATAGATTGGTAACCTTCCTAGTAGAAAAGTGTCAAAAATCCAGGATATTTTGAGATAAGATACACCGATCACATACAGAAAGAGGTTTTCTTTTTCTATTTTTTCCCTTTTTTAATCATGTAATTATCACAAAGACAAAAACAGAAGCTTTTTTTAAGTTTTTTTTTTTTTTTCTTTTTTTGAGTCGAGGGTCTCACTCTGTTGCCCAGGCTGGAGTGCAGTGGCTTGATCATGGCTCAATGCAACCTTGAACTCCTGAGCCCAAGCAATCCTCCTGCCTCTGCCTCTGCCTCCTGAGTAGCTGGGACTATAGGTCACCAGGCCAGGGTAATAGAGATGGGGGTATCGCTGTGTTGCCCAAGCTGGTCTCACCTCAAGTGATCCTCCTGCCTTGGCGTCTAAGAAACTTTTAACGTTTTTATGTAGTGAACTTAGTGGCTGTGTTGAATACTTATACCTAGTTGTCATATTTATTCTAAAAATTCAAATCATTCCCTTGCCAGAGTCTGTTTTCAATTTGCATTCCCTAAGAAACACTTTCTTTGATTCAGTTATCAGGAACTGTTGCCGTTATTACATCAGATGGGAGAATGATTGTGGTAAGTCTTTGGAATTTTCATTCTCTGCTTTCCTGTAGGTTTATTGGTTGCAAGTTTTATGTGAAACCTCTAATCTCTAATGCCTAGACAGCACATTACACCCGTAGTGCAATTTTATTATAATTCAGCTCTTTATCACTTTGCTGTCAATCCATGTTTTCCTCACTAATAAACATTGTGTGTTACCTACAAGGTTTCTCGGAGCTAGAATAATAGATTCTGCCCTCAGAGAGCTCCTAGTCTGTAGACCTTTATTAAACTTACTTTTCTTCTTCCATTTTTATTTCCTTCCCCATTCAGCACCACATGAATCAGAATTTTTTTGAAATTTTGCATATGCTTAGTAACTTTTTAATGATTTAGATACTATTAATATCTAGATAACATTTAAGGCTTGTATACAATCTTAATATTCTTTGTTTTTAGGTTGTGTGACATGTCTTCTGTAGGACACATTATGATGATTGACTCTCTATATATACACATATATATGTAAAATTGGCTTGTTCCTTGAAGTTGTTTCTCCCTTGCTAATTTATGTCATATAACTAAGATAAAACGTTCCTATAGTGATACTTGTATTTGGAATTTGATCTGAGGAATTCATCTCAAGATTTTTGGGTACTTGGTTATTTCTTCACTTACAATTCATACTTTGAATGCTTTCAAAAGAATTTTAAGGCTACTGAACTTTCTCTATTTTCTAACCTTACCTAGTTTCTTTAAATAATTTGATCCCTTATTTTTCCATTCTTCAGTTTTGCTTTTGTTCATTTTCTTTTTAAGCCTTGTGATTTTTTTTCACTGGGTCCTTAGTGACTATTATTAGTCAAAGTTCTAGCTTTGTCCTTTACTAAATTTATATCATGTGCCAGGTGCATATATGTTACATTATTTAATGTACAGTAAAAACTTATGAAGAATAAGTACCCCTGTATTCTAGATTAGGAAACAAGTTCAGAGAAGGTGACTCACTTTCTCAGAGTCACAAGGGTAGCAAGTGACAGAACCAAACTGGGATTTAAATTTGGTTTGACATCAAAGCCAAGGCCAGTTGCCTGGCTTCTTTCTTAAGGAAGCAATGATGTTTGCTTAGGCACCTCACATTGTATTTTTTCAAATATGGACAGTTTGACATATTTTAATTTCAACACTTCAGGAAGCCTATTGCTGTTAATAGATATTTGCATTTTTTTTTAATTTGGTGAAAACCTTAAGTTTAAATTTTCTTATTTTTGTTGACAGGGTAGATAATAAACTGAGAAATTATTTTTAATTTTAAAGAAGAATGAAAGTGATATAAAAAGCATCTTAAGTTCTAAAGTTCAGTAGTTCTGTATTTCTTTGACACATAATTTATTTGATGGGATAATGTGTAAAATGAAGTCAAGAAGTTATGAATGGATGTTTATGATAACAACCATTTGCTAACTAGTTCAATAAATACTCCATATTTTGTTTCTCTTCCAAGTTACAGATTTCATTCTCATTTTATTTCATTCTCTTTTTTATTTCATTCTCATTTTATATATTTTGACTTTCAGAAGATAAAACAGTTTAAGAACTTGAGAGGTTTAACCATCAAAACCAATGTTAGTTGATATTTCTTCAGAAACTTGAATACCATGTGAGTTACTCTGTTATGCTAGACCCATGTCTTCTTTTATTCAATACTAAGCTTTCATAAAACTCTCCCTGATTATTTCCTTCAAGTTCTGGTTTTAATTAGTATAGTCACATTTGTATCTACCTTACTGGGAGAATTAAACAATAAATCCATATGATACACATTAAACAATACATGTGAGACACACAGAACACTGGTAACTAGTATGTACTCATTAGGTGTTACATGTAACTACTAGTTAAATTTTTAGTATATTTATGGGACTGATTTGAATCTGAAAAATGGCAAATTATATTTACTTGTGTATAATAGTATAGAATGTTATGGTTTAGTGGTCTGGCTCAGGAGCTAGCCTTTTGTGGTTCATCTCCTGGCTCTGCCACTTACTACCCATGTGATCATAAGACACACCATTCTGTGCCTCAGTTTCTTCTTTGAAATGGGGCTAATTATAGTACTAAATCAAAGGGTAGAGATGAGTTGAGAAAATGTGTACAGTGTGTTTAGCACACTGCCTAGTGCTGGCATATAGCATATAGTGATACTATTACATTGCTGTAGTTGGTATGTATGGTTCTTCCTTATTTATGTATATTTGGCTATCATTTTCCCTTAAATATCCTTTGTCTTAGTTTATACCTTTAGCTGCTGGTCTACATAAGCTTTTATGCTACTTACTTGGAGATAGTCACATTAGTACATAGGTGTCCTTTGCAACTGCTGTCAACTCTACATATGAGTGAGATGTGTGGTGCAGGTCCCCCCACCCCAGCCAAATAACCAAGAGGTAAATTGTGTACCCTCGAATACTGTTGGTTATAAAAAAGGCATTTTATTTGCCGTCGTATAGGTACTTGTATTGGAATACCTGGCAACTAAAATGACTGTGAGGTTAAATTTACACTTTCAGGTAAACCAGAATATTTCTCTTTTTCTCCTGAATATTTTCTTTACAGGGAACACTGAAAGGTTTTGACCAGACCATTAATTTGATTTTGGATGAAAGCCATGAACGAGTATTCAGCTCTTCACAGGGGGTAGAACAAGTGGTACTAGGATTATACATTGTAAGAGGTGACAACGTGTAAGTAAAATATATCTGTTAAAATTATAAATGATACTGCCTTACTTTATGGAGAAGAGGCTTTCCCCAAAATACCCTACTGTATTGTCCATACATAGTTAATAGAATCTTGCATTCATTTCTTTCGTAAATATACCTTTTCTTATGTTTGTGTAAAATAAGGCATATGTATACATTTTATGTCAGCACTTCTTTAGGTTTCAACCAAAGCTGTCTCTCTACAAATTAAACTTTTACCTGAGATTTGCCCATTTTTCTACTAGTTAAGTAGCCTGGGTAGAGTCCAGAAAGGGCTCTGCCTTATATTAAATACTTCATTAGAGAGACTTCTTAAAACGTTCTTTCAAATACCCAGAATTTTAGAGGAACATATTTCTAGAGTCCAAGGCCAAAGTTTGAAAAATGTTTTGAAATCTCTGATTTGAACAATATTAATTCATGCTCAATAACATAGGTGTATTTATAAATAAGTACTTACTCGTTATTCATTTTCTTTTAATTTTTTAGTATCATTGACACACTTAAGATGTCCCTGTGGCCTCAGTTTACTTGGGACAGACAGATATAAAAGTTCAAGAGTAATTGGCCAGGCATGGTGCCTGTAATCCCAGCACTTTGGGAGTCTGAGGCAAGTGGATCAGGTCAGGAGTTCAAGACCGGCCTCGCCAACATGGCAAAACACTGTCTCTACTAAAAATACAAAAATTAGCCAGGCTTGGTGGCGTGCGCCTGTAGTTCCAGCTACTTGGGAGGCTGAGGTGGGAGAATCACTTGAACCCAGGAGGTAGAGGTTGCAGTGAGCCGAGATCACCCTACTGCACTCCAGCCTGGGTGACAGATTGAGACACCAATTCAAAAAAAAAAAGGCCGGGCACAGTGGTTCAAGCATGTAATCCCAGCACTTTGGGAGGTGGAGGCGGGTGGATCACTTGAGGTCAGGAGTTCGAGACCAACTTGGCCAATGTGGTGAAACCGCGTCTTTACTAAAAATATAAAAATTAGCCAGGCGTGGTGGCGCAAGCCTGTAATCCCAGCTACTCGGGAGGCTGAGTCAGGAGAATTCGCCTGGGAGGTGGAAGTTGCAGTGAGCCGAGATCGCAGCACTGCATTCCAGCCTGGGCAACAAGAGCAAAACTCCGTGTCAAAAAATAAAAAAGAAAAGTGGCTAATGTGGTTCACGTGCCGTGGCTCATGCCTATAATCTCAGCACTTTGAGAGGCCAAGGTGGGTGGATCACCTGAGCCCAGGAGTTCAAGACCAGCCTGGCCAGCATAGTGAAACCCCGTCTCTCCTTAAAATAGAAAAATTAGCCTGGTGTGGTGGTGCATGCCTGTAATCCCAGCTACTTGGGAGGCTGAGGCAGAAGAATTTCTTGAACCTGGTAGATGGAGGTTGCAGTGAGCCAAGGTTGCGCCTTTGCACTCCAGCCTGGGCAAAAAGAGTGAAACTCCATCTTGAAAAAAAAAAGAAAAGTGGCTGATGTGACAGAGGAACTGAATTTTAAATTTTATTTAATTGTAATTAATTTTAATAGTTACATGTGGCCAGTATTAGTATAGTTATAGAGGCTAGAAGAATGCCAAATCAGTTTTCTAGTGAGTACTACACTGAATCAAAATATAGTTGGAAAGAAGCAAAAGATACATTAGCAATTTTAAGCTAGAACATTTAACAAATTCTAGGGGACTAACTGTCCCCTGGAATAACTTAAAAAGTGCAGGAATAATTTACTCATTTAAGTTGTTTATGTTAGCATCACCTTTAGATGAATAAATAATTTGATCTGTAATCAAAAATCAAGAGTTTATAAAATATTTTAGAGATGACTTTTAGGTGGAGTTACAAGGTGAGCTGTAAGTAATGAGAGAGAGACAGAGCAGATAGGGCCCAGGTCTCTGGATCAGAACAACACTGTTTATATTGGAGCTGTGCATAGTAATTGATTTTAAGGTTTCTCCTACTTAAAACAATTTTTTTTTCTTGAACTTCAGTGAAAAAAGTCTTGTGCTAGAGCCAGCTTCTACTGGCCCATGAAAGCATATTGTTATATTTTAAGGAATTTTACAAGCTGGTTAATTGATGTCTTGTTAGTAGCTTGAAATTGGCCGTGGTGGGAGTGTTTGCACAATGGATATTAGTAAATGCAGCAAATCAGTCTCCCGCTTTTTTTCCAGAGAGCTGGTTTTTAAAAATGTATCAGCATTTCCCTGCTTACCATAGGGATTTTAAATGATACTGAATATTATCATTTAAAATTTAAGAATATTTAAGAGTGGAATTGAGGCCTTTAGTTTGAGAAAACTTAATTCATTCTGCCAGAGTTTCATATTTTTCATTTATTAGATGATTTAAGACTTTATATACTTTAAAGCAAAATTTGGCAAATCCCTTATTACTAGTATTCGTCTTTAGAATTTGGCCGGGCACAGTGGCTCACACCTGTAGTCCCAGCACTTTGGGAGGCTGAGGCTGGCGAATTACCAGAGGTCAGAGGTTCGAGACCTGCCTAGCCAACGTGGTGAAACCCTGTCTCTACTAAAAATACAAAAATTAGCCGGGTGTGGTGGCATGCGCCTGTAATCCCAGCTACTCGGGAGGCTGAAGCATGAGAATCGCTTGAACCTGGTAAGTAGAGGTTGGAGTGAGTCAAGATCGTGCCACTGCACTCCAGCCTGTGCAACAAGAGCGAAACTCTATCTCAAAAAAAAAAAAAAAGAATTTACTCTCATTAAAACCAAACAAATGTAAACCCAACCAATACTTTTTAAAAATAATATTTCATAGACATCTTGTGGTCTGAGTGATAACATTGAATATTTCCAGTTAGAGGGCTATGGGTTGGTTATCTAGCGTGGTATTAATGAATTTAAAGTTATAGATACTATGTTAGTGTTGAACAAGAAAAAATTTTCTAGCTTTTAACCTGAGCCAATCACGTCAAAAATGATTTGTTAGATACCAAAGTACTTGTTCCTACTATTATTTTTGTATATGAAGAACTGGCTTTGGATTTAACTGAAAACTTAGGAAAACAATCTAATCGCTGTTGTCTATATCATTGATTTAATTCATCAAAGTTACTCAAATGATTGATATTTTTACTTGCTAATTATTTTAGGAGTGATTTTGTGAAATTTATTTTTAATACAGTCCTAGAATTGAATTGAAATATGGTTTGGAAGTTTGAGGGTTTTTTACTGTGTCTATCCTTGTGTGTCTGTTTCCTTTAAAGATTCATGATACAATCACTGTGTACAATGTGTCCTTTAATATTGGTTCCTGTAATAATGTGCCTTCAAATTATTTCTTGAGTTTTGTGACTTAAATATGCAGTTCACTGACTCACGCCAATGTTGTTTGCTTTTTACCTTAATTCTTTTTACTGTGCTCTCTCAGTTTTATTTTTTGGAAGAATGGTACTCAGTGCTTTGATTTGATTAGTAAGATTTTTGAAACACATGTAATTTATTTCAGAAATGTGATTGTTTTAACTCTGACTTTTTTAGTGCAGTCATTGGAGAAATCGATGAAGAAACAGATTCTGCGCTTGATTTGGGGAATATTCGAGCAGAACCTTTAAATTCTGTAGCACACTGAGGAAAAACTACATACTTGGACATCTGTAAATCTTTGTACAGAAACTGATTATTCTGAGGATGATATATGGAGTTTTTATGAGTGTGTCACTGGATTTTGACTCCTTATTGATTCATTGTAATATGTAAATTAAAATATTTCTACATTTTATTGAAAAAAAAACCTTTTTTTTTGCCTAAATATAAGTTTGGTAGCTTGGTTTCTTTTTTTTATTAAATAGTGTGAAAATATAATGGGCATTTTGAAAACTTTTAGAAAAAAGTAGTACTTTTTGATACTTTAGTATTTATGGAAACTAGTGGAAAAGAGAAATTAGTGTGCTATATAAATCAGGCATTCAAGTAACAGTAATACAGGATATATGTGTTTTCTTTCCCTGATGTTTAGGAAAATCACAGGAGGGTAAATCTTTGCTGGAGTTATCTGAATCATTGGCATTTATCCGATTCCACTGGTGGTAGTTTGCTAGTGCTTCTAAAAGTTGCTCCCTAGCACTGAGAGGTGTGGGTAGGTAAAAATGTGTTTGCTTGAGAAAAGCAAAAATGCTAACAAGGTTTTGATAGATTGGCCCAAAATTCTAACTTGAATATTAAGAATGACTAGGAATGGTAGAATTGACAGAGATGATTAGTAAAGTCTCTTGATGCCCAATTGGTTAGGTATGAAAGTAATATGAACACATTAATGTTGAATTTTACAGACAGTATATTTGAAAAAAATTGATTCCATGTAGTCTTCAATTTTTAATTTTTAAGAATTGGAGAATTTCTAATGTTAAAGTTAGTTTATAAATGTGAGTAAATAAACTCTAAGTTTGTATTGAAGTAGTGCTAGCTATTATTGTCAGCAATTTTCCATGATTCATTATCCATAAACCTGATTTCAGAAGACGTCAACTCAGTTTTTTAAATAATTGAAAGAAACAATGTAAGTAGTGTTTAGATATTCAGGCTAGTCCATAAAATTTCTGATCAACTCATGTATAGGCCCAAGTGTGTGTCTTTGTGATGAGAAGAACATAGAAAAATATTTACATCCTTGTAATTGAAACAAATTTAAATAGTTTATTTGTTTTGTTTTTATGAAAGTGCTTAAAAATAGTAGTTGGCAAGCTTTTTCTATGAAGATCCAGATAGTCTTTTAGGCTTTGAAGGCCATGTGGTCTGTCACAGCTACTCACCTCTGCTATTGTGGCCTACAAATAACCATAGATAATACATAAATGAATAGTGGCTGTCTTCCAGTAAAACTTCATTTATAAAAATGGAGGTGGGGGTTGGATTGGGCTTGAAGGCATAGTTGCTGACCCTTGGCTTAATACAAGTTCAATAAGAAAAAATGAACAATTTGTATAAATTCTGGAATAGATCCTTATAGAGAGTTTAGAGGTGGGTTTCATTCATATTTTAAAATATTTTAAACTTCATACTTATTAAACATAATAGCTTTTTGGGGGAGGAAAATATCTTCACTCAAATCAGCCTTATAAGGGGAGAAGCACTATTCTCTAGAATTATTTGGTTGATGTTAAGGGCTGTCTCTGGGAGAATTAGAGAAGTTAGCTAGTATTGGCTATTCATAAGTACTTGACTTGTAGTATAATGTTTTATAATCAATTTATTAATAAAATGATGGAAAGTGGGTAAGGCAAACAGGCAAATTTAGGGACTGTGAATGAAATATTGTAGTATATGGCATTTTGAATTGGTAAAGTAATTCCAAAAATTAAATAAGAATACACATTGTTCAGTTGCTAAGAAAAATGCATTCTAACAGTACAAATGAAGTCCAGAGTCAGATCTTTTCTCAAAATACTTGGCATATCAACACATTACACATAAACAAATAAAAACCAGTCCTGTCCCTCATGATAATGGGTTTCTAATGTGATGTATTCTTGCAATCTGAAACACCTTATAAAGCTGTATTTTCCTGATTGATGTTGGAAAAAGCATTCCCAAAATGTGAATTATTGTTTTTATGAATAGTTACAGAGGATGTGATGACAATATGCCAGATAATCTATGTAATTCTTTATTCCTGGATACAAGCACATGGTGGACTGTTTTCTCACAACCGATTAAAATTGGATTTATTTTTGCATGAGAATTGTAAGGGAGCCACAACCATGAGTAGTAACATAATTAATATACAGTGTCAATATTTTATATTTAATGAGACATTTATTCTATAATCAGTTCTTATTTATAAAGAGGCGCAAATCAATTTCAACCTGTAATTACCTCTGTGCTTTGTGACTCAGGCACAATCTAAACCCAGCTTAATGAATCAAAGAGATGTTTCTTGGCAAGATATTTTCATTAAAGTTATTTGGAAAGGGCAATTAACTGCAAAAGGGACTTTTTTTTTTTTAACTGACAAGATACTATCTAAACTAATAGTTTAAAATAACATTGCTTTTATGTCAAAGCACTTTGGTAACTTGGCCTCACATGCTGACAGTTTTGGCTAAATATTACAAATCTTGATCCCAGAAGAGCAAGAGAGAAAGTTTTACTAATATTTGCTTAAACATCCTGTTTAACAACTTTATAACATCCTTCGGAATTTTTAAGGTAATAATGTGAGATATAAGTATGATAAAAACAACTTTTAAATGGTATTTAATGCAAATACAGAATAACGATGTCAACATTTTCCTCAGCCGTGTAACCTGAGATTCATCATGGGAATGAGAAAGTAAAGGCCCTTTGTAATGGCATGTGAACCAGACAATTTAGTAGCCAGGGTTGTAAGGCAACTCTTAACTGACAATATAGTTAGTATATTCTGGGCCTTCATCTTCAAAATTAGTAGGTAGTATTTATTGAGTGCATATCATGTGCCAGGCCTGGTGCTGAGTGCTTACAATGATCATTTTATATATGGGAAAATTGAGGCTCAGCAGGGTCAAGTGACTTGTAAGAGGTAGCACTAGTAAGTAACAGTGCTCAAATTCAACTAGGTCTTTCAGCTTTTTATACAATACTGCCTGTTATCAGAAAGTATAGTCTTAAAATCTGCTATCAAGCATCTATCAGAAGCCTGATGAGAAATATTCAGATGATCTAACGCAGTTCCCAAACCTGCATTGTGGGCCGTTTTCATTACAATTACCTAAGGTGCTTTAAAAATTTTCTTGGGCCCTACTCGTTGTGGTTCAGCAGCTGTGTAATGGAGCAAAAAGGAATAGTCACTAAACAGCGAAGGAAAGTGGTGGAATTATTAAAAGACCTAGCACTTACCTGCTGGGATGAGTCTCTAACCCCACAGAATTGATTTCAAACACAGGATCTTATTCAAGATAAGGATAATAACAGCTATCTTCTTGGGTTGTAAAAAGTAGCATTAGACTGCATTTTAAACATTTGGTATGATTTTGAGGACATAACCGTAAACAGCTATTTAATACTATTCCAGGTAGTCAAAGGCCAATGTATAAAAGTTAAAAATATAGGTCTTGTCAGCTTTTTAAGCGTCTGTCCCACTGACTACCATATCTCTACAAGAGAATAGATGAGGAATTGAGGTTATGTGGGAAGTACGTGTAAGTTTACAGTATTAAGAAATGTACAATAAAATTTGTTTCTATGTCAGCGAATATTCTTGACTCAAGGAGTTTGAAAGTGTAAACTCAAAGGTCTTTCACATGTAAAGAGGAACCTCTCCATTCTGTACTTGTATAGTCATTACCTCATATAGATTTAATTTTATTAAATTAAATTTTACTTATTTTGGGTTTAAAAAAACTTGGGCTGTGAATCTCAGTTTTAAGTCATGGGCAAATTTGATAAAAATTCCTTTCTGTCTACATGTAATACTGAAAAAAATGTTGATAAGGTAAAGCTATCTCCATTTAGATTGATACCCATTAAATAGCATAGTGCTCCCATTAAACTAGCGACAAATTCATTTAATTGTGAGATATCTAGTACTTATGCTCCATCCTGTTTATAGGGATTATTGATGTGAGATTTGGTCAGATGCTTTGATGTGATCTTCATTCCTCTGTATAGTGGGAAACCATGAGACGTGCTTAGTCTTCATAAATCGATGCTGCCTCCTAGTGGCCATTGCTTTCTTTTCTACCTGTCCACAAACTTCAAAAAAATAGATTTTGGAATTTTGTCAGGGACACTTATCAAGCCATTAATACATGCCAGGCAGTATGCTCAAAGCTGTGGATAGGCCAGGGAACAGTATTCTTGTGCTTGTGAAGCTTCTATCTGTCTGTATCTACCTCAACCAAATCATCTTGACTCAGATTTACTGTCGAAGGTCGTGTTATTTCATCAGATTCTTTCAGTATTCTGGGATATAATTTATGGGTTCTGGATTCATTCAAAACAACTAGAAACAGTCTTTTTAAAATAAATATAATTCAAGTCAATTATTTTCCCCATCTATTTTTTTTCTTTTAAGATTGCTAAGTCTGTAGGTTGCATAATTCTAAGGATAAAGGCGAAATAGGACTTCACCAGGAGAATTTCTTTCATTAGTTAACAGTATGCCATCTCCTACTTACTGGCATCATCTGGGGAATGAAGGAGCTGAGAATTGTTCTTCCAGATACCTTTCCGACCTCTTCTTGGTTTTGGCATTAAGTTTTTTTTTAACTCAATTTTTGTGTTAGTTTTTTGTTATGCCTTTTCATTTCCTTCTTTTTTTAATGTTTCTTTTTTTTTAAGTCCTTTAATTTTTATTTATTTATTTATTTATTTATTTATTTATTTATTTATTTATTTTTGAGACACTTCTTGCTCTTTCGCCAGGCTGGAGTGCAGTGGTGCAATCTTGGCTCACTACAACCTCCGCATCCTGGGTTCAAGCGATTCCCCTGCCTTAGCCTCCCGAGTAGCTGGGACTACAGGCACGCGCCACCACACCTGGCTAATTTTTTTGTTTTAGTAGAGACGGGGTTTCACCATGTTGGCCAGGATGGTCTTGATCTCCTGACCTCGTGATCTGCCCACTTCGGCGTCCCAAAGTGCTGGAATTACAGGCATGAACCACCACGCCCAGCCTAAGTCCTTTTATTTTACAGAGTATTACTTGTTAGAAATGGCACAGATCAAGCATTGCTACAACTGGTATCAAATTCCCATCAATGTCCCTACAAGGATATGATACGCTTTCTCTCTTCTCTTTAGGGTAATGTTCAATTACACTGCATATATTTTGCTATTATGTAGGTTTTTTTTTTTTTTCCACATATACTGGCTTTACAAATGCCATATAATTAGTATGGTACCAAATTGTTATTACATTTGAAATACGTTAAAAAGAATCCAGGAGTCAGGGTGGGTGGGGAGACAACTCCAGGGACACAATACATTGTGTCTTGTATTAAAAACTAGTGTGTGTTGGGGTGGGGAACAGGCAGGAAACTAATATGTTTCTGTTTGATATATGAAAATATGCACAAGCTATCATGTTTCATCTCATATCAACAAAATGATTATAATAAATCATACTCTAGAAAACTCATTAACTGATACAAGTTGCCAGAAAATGCTGCACTATGGCTTATTTCACATTTTAAAATAAATGCCCTGAAAGTGATCACAATGATAGTTAAAAGTTAAATTTTTTATTTTAAAATTTAAATTTTTATTTTAAAAAATAGCTCTCTGAATCTGACTTGGATAAGCTTTATTTTAATTGTGATTCTGCTAATTACAGAGACACTTCAATTCACACTCATAGGAGGTATGATTTTTAAAAGGAAATTGTTGATTAGGGTCTTGGGCTAGTCCAGTGTAGCATGGCAGTGAAAGGCACAGACTCTGGAGTCATACTTAGTTTGCAGAGCTTAGCATATTAATCTTACCATGTCTTAGTTGCTATGAAAATGAGTACCTGCTTCCTTGTACTGTCAAGATTAAGATAAGCAGTTAGCACTCCCTAGAACATACTAATTTGTCAATATTAATGATAGCTAACAATTATCCTGATATTGAATGATGGACTCCAAATTATTTATTGTGGCCTAGGAAAAGTACTAAGAAGTAATTGATAGCATTCCCTGATAATTTTGGTGAAAAGAAAAACTATGAAAATTCTGGACAGGACTGGAAATTTATTGTAAATGAAAGTATGCTTCCCTGGTGCAAAGGTAATGTGATGTTTTTAATCACATATTTTAAAATTAAAAATTTGATCAAATTTTTAAAAGTAACACGAGGCAGAGAAAGTACAGAAAGGAGCAACCAGAGTCAAAGTGATTAAGTTATAAAAAGGTTAGATTTCTTTGGTGTGAAAAGATAAATGAGAAATGAGAATATGCCAGAGATCTGAAATGAAGAATGGATAAGAGCTTGCATATTTAATTTTGTATATTAAAACCAAATATTCTATGAAGATTGGAAGGATAATTTTAGGTCAAATGAAATTCTACATTAAAGAAAGAAGAATAAACCTTAACAACTCATTAGTAATCCTTCATTTCCTGAGTATTTACTGCATGACAGTAACAGAGATGACATGCCCGGTAAACTGGTGTTTGAAGGCAATATATAAAAGCTTCCCATGCATGGCAAAGATGCATTTTCCTCTATGCATAGCAATATGGGAGAGATTGGAGGAGAATCTTCATGGAAATGGATGACTTGTGCTTGACCCTAAGGATAGTAAGGATTTCCATAGATGGTTAGGAAAACTTCAAATTGGCAGACAGGAAGGCAAGAAGGAGTAAGATGTGGTTGAGTAATAAGGAGTAGACTGACCTCTCTGTACAGTAAAGGCTCAAATCCTTTTTATTGCAAAGAAAGGACCTGTCCTTCACCAGTTCCTGGAAGAAAATCTCTTGAGTCCTTGGGATGTCTTACCTGTTAAGAGTGCTTTTGTATGCCTGAGACCATAGGCCTTGCTGTTACAGTTTAAGCTCTGGGAAACGAGATTCAGGAGCTAAGGTCAGTTATGAGGGAACTGAATATTTATGTGACTGAACCCTCATAAAAACCCTGAACACCAAGGCTCAAGAGAGCTTATTAGCAATACTTTGCATGTGTTGGTAAACACCGTTGCTGAACTAGGTGCTGTCTGTGCAGCTCCACTGGGAGAGGACATCTTGAAGTTTGTGCCTGGTTTCTCCTGATTTTCACCCTGCACACCTTTTCCATTTACTGATTTTAATCTATATCCTCTCACTATAATCTGCAACTGGGAGCATAGCAGCTTTTCTGAGTCCTATGATTCCAAGTGTATCAATGAACCTCAGTATGATCTTGGGGACCCCCAACTCACTATCTAAATAAAATTTTCATTGAAAATTAGTGAGAAGGGAAGAGATGGCCTTCAATACTAGTGCAAAGTTAATACTTTATTCTTAGAGCAGCAAGTTGATTTTAGGGGATTAAAAATCTAAGACGTTTAAGGGAACATGAATTTGGATGCATTGAACAGAATTGGTAACCTGAAGGAGAAACTGGAGGCAAATTGTTTCAAGTTAGGAAGCTATTGCAGTAATTAAACTGAGCTGACACATTTTCATGTCAGATTTTCAGATATGATAAAGGCTGGAAGTACAGAGTTTCAAAAGATGTACATAAATTTATGGAAAGGAAATTTTGGAATGGTGATTCTAACCTTTAAGGTTGGTGCCATGGAAGGAAAACAAGTAACTTTGCAACAATCTGTTCAACAATGAGAGTTACCAAATGCCAGACACTGCTAAGTGCTGGGAACTTAGATGTAACCAAAGACTTAAAAGATACTAGTCTTTAAGACAGGCTTTGAGAAATTCAAGTGTAGGGTAAGGCCACCTCCCCAGCAAGTAAATACTGACATGGTGAAGATATGTATTGGGTGATATGAGAGCCCATAGGAGAGACATCTAAAGTTTAATAGCAACACTAGGCTGGACTGAGTGGTGAATACGTTGATATAGCAATTTAATAAATGTGTTATTGTCAATGTAGGCATTTTGCTCATAGCTTAGGGCAAGTGATAAAAAACAGAGCTTAACAAAGGACTGGATGTTTTAGTTTGACAGCAGTGTCTAAATTACAGATTAGAGAACTAATGACTAGCCATACCGAAGACATTTATCTGGAAATGCCTTCCCTAAGTGCCAACAGAGAATGAAAATATAGTCAATAGCTTTAAGTGACCCCATGCATCTTAATGCCTTTCAAGCAACATGTTTTTCTGACTTCCAAATATAAACAACCTAAGCATTGTGCAGTAGCCATGAGGGACTAGGTATCCAAGTGCACATTATATTGGCTTTGTAGAGCCATTGGAGGGAGTAATAGTTTCAGAGTCATGAAACAAATCATAAGTAGCTGCTCTGGTGCTCTCTAGAGGCAGAACTTGCTGAATTTGAAGACTATTAATGATGCAGCTCTCACTGGTACAAGTGAAAAACCTCTCAGCCCTACACAGCATCTTTAAGAAAGCTTTAATTTTGGTTTTTCAGAGCAATATTCACATGACATCTTTCGGATCTGGAATCTTAATTACCATTAGGTTGGAACTCTACCTGAACTAAAAATAAGTGGTCTCTATCACGTTGAAATTACTTTAATATTTTCATTTATGTTTATACTATTTATTTAAATGCGGAGAACATGGCTAACCATTCAGGACCATTTAATTATCAAATTATTAATGATTCTTCCATAATAAACAAGCAAACTGTCATACTTGTTGACTTATATTTCATTCCATGGAATTCAAATTTAATTAATTGATAAATCACATTGTACTTTATAAGAGTTTATTCCTTAAGTGTTTGAATTTACACTTTTTTCTCCTGTGACAGCATCTATTCCCAAGGCAATCAACATTTTAATGGAACGAACTGAGGTTTGCAATTGCTAATGTTATTCTCCCATCCCAGTTTCTACTTGTTTCTTGTAAAAAAGGAGGTTTCTAAATCTTGACTGTTGATTGACAATTAATGGGCTAAATTTCCCATTAGCAAACACTTTTCACATATACACTAATATTAGTATCTAAATTATATTAAAATCTAATTTGGTAGCAATTGACTTGAAATTTGTGATACTTCAACTTGTGCTAGGTTGTAGTTTTGCTTGTATCACTCATAGTTACTAAAAATGCAAAAGGCAAATTTGAAATAACTATAAAAATAAACCTTTAATGAACTTTTTAATATGCAATACTCAATTGTAAATAACCATTATCTTTACTGAATCAGATGTTTCATTAACTGTTAGCAGTTATTTCGAGTTATTTATATATCACAGAATTTTGAACTAAAGATCATCTAGCTGAATTTCCTTTATATTAAAGAAGAGGAGAAAATCTTAATACTAAGTATGTGTGAGCCTGGAGCTGCCATGGAGCATGTAGAGAGAGTCTCCTAGTTGATACCAACTCAGGAAAGCAGAATCAAGCAATAAAGAGACATTTTGGGCCTGATGACATCATTTCAGCACCTGGATCCAGCGATGCCTAAAGATGTGACTCCTAGACTTTTCACTTACATGAGCCAAAACGGTTCCTTTGCATCAATAAATCGCTCTGTGATGCATTTTATAATGTACAACCAAGAATCTCAATATTTATTATTTTGCATTAAATATCAGTAAGTTTGATATAAAAAGCTCAGTAAAATTCATTAATTTGAGAATGTGTCTATATCATAGTAAAGTTTTAAACCTACATAATTTTCAATATTTATACCTTTTACTGCAAAAATAAAAATGAGTTTATCCTTGCCCTAAAGCTGTAAAATTAAACTCTGTACAATTCTAGTTATTTGAAATATAAAATAAAATTATTGGTCATTTCATGTATACATTTGTGGTAACACTTTAACTTTTTCCCTGTAAGGCCATCTTTTGTATGTTTCTGTTTCCATCAAGCAGGCTTTTAATGCAACTTTATCTTCTGGGTTTCCCTAGTCATAATTAAGGGTTTGGCCCTAGTTCACAAGTAATCTTCCAGCACAAATTTTATAAACAAATGCCCTGTGAATCTGCATGGCATAAATCAAGTCTCTAGATCCTGATCACTTCTATGTGAATTTGTAATATTCTGCTTTTGGACTTGTAAGACCAAGAGCAGACTCCCTAAACACAGAGGAGGCAGTAATTTAGGACAGCTTAAACATTCTGGCTGACTGCCTCATCAATGCTATTTAATAACAGAATTCTGGGGATGTCTTGAAATAGATACATTGGCAGTTTTTTTGTTTTTGTTTTTGCTTGTGTCACACATAATGCTGATGAAGAAACCATGAAGTGTCATATGAAAGGAAGTTACGATTATTATTGGTGAGTACATCAGTTAGAATGGTATTTGGCTATAAGCACTGGAAACTCTGACTGCCAGTGGCTTTAACAGGCAGGAGGAGTTCATTTATCTCGAGAGAAAAGAACAGAAAAGTGAAAAGCAAGGCAGTTCAGACTGGGGCACCTACTCAAAGAAGTGACCCAGTACCCAGGCCACTATTTTCTCTTTGCCATCCTTTTGTTCTAATAATTTGCCTGTCATCTCGTGACTCATATTTTCCATCTAATTAGAATAAAGAAAGATGAAATAGGAAAGTGAGATTATCATATGGGAAAAATAAATGCTTTCCCAACTATAACCAGCAGACTATACTGGCAAAATATACTGCTTGAATGCCATTGGCCAGATCTTTGTCATATGGTTACCCTAACTACAAGGGAGGCTAGGAAGGTGAGGGATTTTTTTCCTTTTATAGTGACATTTTGCCACTCCAAATAAAAAAAGGGTTGCTGTTAGGAAAAAGAGAAGAATGGGGATGGGGTGAACAACCAACAATGCTGCCATTGTGCTAGTATAGAAGCAAGTATCTCAGAGGCAGGTGAAAACAACTTCTATGCCCAAACAGAATTCTTTTTTATCTCTGATATAAAATGCAGAATATGAATTTTAATAAATTCCCCAGGTGAGTCATATGCACATTAAAGTTTGAGAAGCACTGATCTATACTGTCTTTCTACACACTTTTTTACCTTACTTTATCCTTCAGGATTCTGGCGTCAAGTCCCTCCCTATCAGTCTTTAAAAACTGTAGCCTTAAATCAGTAGGGATATAGAAGACATGAACAATACTTTCATCCATCTTGACCTAACTGCCATTTATAGAACGTTCTATCCCAAGACATCAGAATATATATTCTTTTTAAACATTTAATGAAAGGATTTAACTCCCAAACTCCAAAGCAAGATGTTCTAAGAAGACTCATTTAAAAAATTAATCTCAAAAAACAGATTTTAAATTGTACAGGAGAAATGCTTATATGAGAACAGAATTATGGGGCACTCTGAATACTAATTTAAGAAAGAAATATAAACCCCTTTTAAAACTCACATAATTTTCCCATTTCCCTTGAAGAAGATACTAATATTTCTGATATCATATAGGAGTAAAAATTGCGGGGAGGTCCTAATATCCAATATTAATAGAGCTGTGATTATTCAAGCTGTAGACTTAAATTTTTTAAATAGAGTAATGGTTGTTTAGTAGAGATTAATATCTAAATAAGGAAAATGAAGAAAGGGACTAAAAATCAAGTAAATAGGATAATTGAGTTTCAATGGGCAAGAATTTTTATATCATGATTTTACCACTCTGAATATCAAAGTCAGTGATGTCTCCAAAAGGCAAAGGGAAGTGTACCAATTTTTGGAGCACTATAAAAAGTGAAAAGTCATCTGCCAGATCTAACATGGTATACTCTAATGGAAAAATCATCAAGATTCTCTTCCTTTTTATGATTCTATAGTAACAGTTTAGTTGAGAAAATAAATCATAATTTGTGATTTCAAACATTTAATATGTGCACATGTATATTATAATATACTCATCCTTTATATTTATCATGCTTTTTTGAATAAATTTGCCACCTTATTGCATATGAAGAATATCTCCATATTCTTACAGCTGTTTTTCTTGGTTGCTTTCTAATTCCTTTCCTCCCTTATTGGTTACCTATGAATTGCTCAGTTCTAACAATGATTTGTAAATTTTAATACTATAGATATATTGCTGTTAATTATTACACCTAAAAATAAATTATTTTACAGAGGCTACTAAGAATGTCCATGTTTTTTTCTGAGATTCTTGCCATATTTTAAGGGTGATATGTAATTATGGGGATAACGGATGGTATGTAAAAATAGCAAGGACACACTTTTTTAAAAAAGAAAAGTTTACATTTGAAGGAAGCCCTGGACTTTGATGATTTAAGAAGAATTTTAATTATTGTCCTCAAGCAAGATTCAATTTTCTGGTTTGATGGGGCTATATTTTTCATTTACTACAGTAAAAAATAAAGCATATGAAACTATAAACAAGACACCTGCATGTGTATGCTTATCATTGCACGATTCACAGTAGCAAAGTCATAGAACCAACCTAAGTGTCCATGAGTGGTTGATTTGATAAAGGAAATATTTCATATATACATATACATATACACACACATACACACATATGTAACATTTTTGTATATATACACAATAACATTTACTGTTTACACATTGTATATAGTGTATATATAGAGTGTATATATAATGTGTGTGTATATATATACACACATTCCATGATATATAATATATAAAATATTTAAATATATATAATATATAATATTATATATATATATAATGGAATACTATGAAGCCATAAAAAAGAATTAAATCATGTCCTTTGCAGCAACATGGATGGAGCTACAGCCCATTATCCTAAGTGAACTAACTTGGAAAGAGAAAATCAACTATCACATTTTCTCACTTATCAGTGGGAGCTAAACAATGTGTACACATGGACACAAAAATGGAAATAATAGACACCTGGGACTACAATGGGGGGAGTATAAGAGGAGGCTCAGGGTTGAAAAATTACCTATTGGGTAATGTTCACTCTATGAGTGATGGGTACACTAGAAACCCCATCTCCACCTTTACACAATATACCCATGTAATAAACATGCACATGTATCCCCTGAATCTAAAATTTAAAAAAAAGGATACAAAATTTAAATTTCAAATTATTACAGAACTCAACTGACAGATTTAAAATACTTTATTTTCCTATACAGCTGAACAGTAGTTATTCATTTGTTAAACTTAGTTTTGGTATGTTCTGGAAAAATATTAAGAATAATGAGTATCAAATTGGGCCAAATAACAATAATATTCATCTATGCTATGTGATCTAATTCAAAGAGTACAGGTTTGGGGTCAGACATATTTGAGATCAATTCCACATTCTGTATATTACTAACTCATTTTTATAAGGCTAGGGTGTGGATTAAATGAGATTAAATGTACATAATCTACAAAAGATTACATTCCTTCCCCCTATTTTATGACTATACATAGAATAGGGTATTCATTAGGTTACCATATAGAGTAGTATTGACAAATATTAGTTTTTGGAAATGAATCTAATTCATTATATATTGAAATGCCAGTTTCATGCCATCCAAATGATCTTTTGTGGAAAGAATTAGTTAAACGTAATTATTAGTAGCAGGTCATTTAGATAAGTGAAATTATAAACGGTACAGGTTGCTTTGGTTTGTTTAAAAAACTAAAGAAAAATGATTGTGTAAGTTCAGGTCCTTCCGAGAAAAAGAAAAAAAAAAAATAGCACACACACACACTGTGGGGGCAATGGGAGAGTGTCTGCACTTACACATAGCTACTAAGTAGAAAGCTGTAAATAAATACAGTGACAATGGAGATGAAAAAAAGGAGATGAACTGAAAGAGTTAGACATTGAATAAATGGATTCTGTAAGGTGGACATTTTGCTTGTAATAATTATCAAAGAAAAAGAAGAGAGAGAGAAAGAGGAGCAAGAGAAGTGAGTGAAAAAGAGGAAGGAAGGAGTGGTAGAGACAGAGGTGTGACAGGACAAACCAATTAGGTATGAGCTTAAGCCAAGGAAGTAAGAGAAAAAGATAAGAATAGTAAAGTCTATGAAAAGACATATCAGAAACTTTTTTCATAGACATTTATAATTAAATTTGTGTATATTATTTTACAATTATTTATAAACACTTACTGTAATAAATATTAATAGCTTAATTTTATAACTATAAATTGTCATGCAGTTTAATATGCTTATTACTACTACCTGACAGCTGTAGATTACTGGACAGAGGAAGAGAGAGAGGTGCAAAAATAGATAAATTAATAAAATCTGATACTTCTCTCTATATACGGTTTGAAATATATATTTAATGATACATGGGCATGGGTTAAAAAATGAGAAATTATGGTCTAAAATTCCCTGTATAAGCTTACAATTAGAAGATATCAGAGAACATACTGTGTTCTTCTTTTTTATTTATAGTTCTTTAACATAACTCAATTGAACTTACACATCATAAACATCAATAGGGACTATAAATGTATGCCATACATTTAGAAATTCAAAAATACTAATTGCTAGGCATATTATGCTGATTGCATTATTGTAACATTGCATTTTAATGCCTTTTATGTGCTAGACATTATTCTAGGTGCTCCAGGAAATCTACAAATATGACTCCTGATCTCAAACAGCTTATAATACTGCAGGAGATATAAAATGTGTATAAGGATAAAAATAAAACAAAAATTCCTGAGGTTGGGAAGCTCTAGATTGTGGTTATCAAGAGCTACTGCTTCTGGAATTATTTTAGGAGAGCATGCATTCTGGGATTTGGATGAAAAATTTTTACCACACTCTTAATGAATATATTTAGGAAGTATAGCGAAATCCCTTTGTAATATTGGTCTGGGGTAGATAATTTAAATTCGTCTTACAAGATAACCAATATTTCTAAGATTTTGTTCATTCGAAGTATAGAACCAGTAATGAAGATAGAGAAAAAGTTATCTCTCTTTAGATACACAGAGTTCTTTCTATATATATGTATAATTACTAATATATATTAGCTTTATATATATTACACATGTTTATATATAATATTACATATATTATATATAATTTTTAGGTTATATATTATTACATATTATATATATATATATATATATATATATATATATATATATATATATATATATATATATATATAAGCTTTGGAGCTGAGAGGTACCAGGGAGAATTCATGATTACTGCTGTAATTAATTAATTCAAGAAAATAACATTTTATTAGGCATAACTGATATAAAAGGCTACAATTAATTTGATTTAAATTCACAGTAAGACTTCTTACCCTCGACTTATTTTCCCAAGTAGAGAAACCAATTAGAAACACTCTCTAAATAGATGCTGAATCTAATTAGTATAACATAGTCCATATGCATAGCATATTTGCATTGTACATTGTGTTGCAAAATATGTATTGTAAAGTAATTTCTAGAAGAACAGACCTGCCAGAGTAGGTACTGCTTATGTCAATTTCATGAAGATAAAGAAGCCAATCAACTCATCTATGGTCCTGGGGCCATGGTTAACTGAGATCTGCCTTCAAACACTTGATGAGGAAAACAAGTATTATTACTTCAACTAGAAGAAACTCTAGGCCTAATGAGTCTTCTCAAAAATAAATTTCAACTGGAGTGAAAACACAACTAAATCTGACTTCTTCAAGTGGATCTTATTGGATCCCATATTTTGATAGTATTGCTGTAAAAACACTATGGGGAGAGGAAAGAGAATGCGTTTGGGAGCCTGGCAGGCTTGGAGTTAAATTATGGTTTAACCACTTTTTTTAACTGTAGGATCCTGGGCCAATTAATCTCTCTGAACCATAGTTTTGTGATTAGTAAAAACAAGAAAATGACAGCATGGCAACCTTGCAGAGTCATTATAATTATGCAGAGAAGATATGCTCAGCACATAATATGGTGTCTAACCCAGAGTAAAACACTGAATAAATATTAGTTCCATCTCTCCCAACTCTCTTATTTAAAAGATAATAAAAGAATCATAAAATTCTACCAGCGTAAAGACTATTCTTCAGAATTCTCATCCATTACTAAAAAGTATAAGGAATTCAATTAAACAATAAACAAATATATAATAACATTGAAAATATAATGTTCTGAGGCTTTGCTACAAAGTACCCCTTTGGAACATAATTGAACAATATCCAGAATGAATATTCATTATACTCTTGGTAGGCAATTAATGCATTAAAATATCTCACGTGGCACATCATCATATGCAAGGGAGAATGTGATTTATGAAAATTTGATACCTAAAAGTGAATTACAGTTATCATAATCCTAACTTGACCCTATCAAACTAACAGAAAATATCATCATGAACAGAATTGGTGTCACACTTGGAGAATGACAAATTTAAATAGCATGATGTTTCTGAGTTTATTCCAGTAGGGTCAGAGAGCATACTTATTTTGCTCTTTAATTCTTTAGTCCAATGAGGGAATATTGGTAGACACCATTGAGTATAGCACAAAGCATCCATTGTAAGGCCTAGAGGCACTGTATTTTGCAAGATAGCAGATGATAGAAAACAGGTAAGAGATAACGACCCTTGCAAAAATTTTCAAGCTGCCAGGGGAGATATGTGCAAGAGAGACCAATGTACTTACTTATTCTCCCTATTCTTCTTCTCAGGAAGATGCTAATAAATTCGTTTAGCCCTAGCCATTTTATCTATCCTTTGACTGAATCCTGCAAACGTGGCCATTTCTGTTCTCTTGGAAAGAATAAATGAAAAAGTTCCATGTTAAGAATTCATCTATTCTAAACGACTTGGAGGTTATACTCCGTGAATTAAGTTGAAAAGGAACCACTGAGAAAGTGGAGGCATGTGCCAGAGTGGTACCATCTGGAGATGCAACTCATATCAACATGTTCAAGCTTCCAGAGTGTGTCATCAGTTGTCCCTTTCTCCAGTGGGATAAAAGTTTGTTCATCTCATGTAAGCAAAACTGTCTCTCTCTTTTTTTTTTTTTTTTTTTTGAGATGGAGTCCTGCTCTTGTCGCCCAGGCTGGAGTGCAATGGCGAGATCTCAGCTCACTGAAACCTCTGCCTCCAGGGTTCAAGCGATTCTCCTGCCTCAGCCTCCCGAGTAGCTGGGATTACAGACATGCACCACCATGCCCAGCTAATTTTTGCATTTTTAGTAGAGATGGGGCTTTGTCATGTTGGCCAGACTGGTCTCAAACTCCTGACCTCAGGTCATCCGCCTGCCTTGGCCTCCCAAACTGCTGGGATTACAGGTGTGAGCCACCACACCCAGCCCTGAACTCTATTTCTAATAAAGTGTTTGTGATTCTTGTTTTAAGTGGTGATCTCCTGGGATTCTCTCTTCTAGGTGGCAGAGAAGCTGTCTGGACTACTTCTTATAGCATGATGGTTCAAAGAGTTAGCATCATAGGATGTCACTTTTCTAACCCTTTCCATAATCATGCTTTATCAAGCATTATGACAAGACCTATGCCAAAAAACAAACAAACAAACTCGAATGGCTACAATCCATTAAATTGGCATTTAATTTTTTAAACTATTTAAAAAGCTATTTGCTGATTAGTCTATTATGGTATATTGTAACAAAACTTAGCTGCCTTGAAAATTGAATATAATTAAAGATTTAAGTAAGGGACCATAGATACCACCCTCAAAGTAGAAGCATATGTAACATATAAAGTAATTTTAAAAGTATATTTAGGTAAGAAAATATGTTTTATTTCCCAATATTAGGGCATACCCTAGTACCCCTGAAAGATACTCAATAATTACTTGTTGAATGAATAAGTGAATGAAATTAATATTTTCCTTAGAAAAGATTTTTGAAAAACCATTAAAACTAACTGTTCTGTATGCGTACCTTGAAGATCAGAACTACACCTATTTCATGTTTGCATTTCTGGCATCTAGCAAAATGCCTGACTCATAGAAGTTTCACTAAATGTAGACTAAACTCATGGTGGCCTCATGCAGTTGTTCAGGTCATGCACTACAAAAGTCACCACATCTAAAGGGAAACAATTTTCACTGTACTATTATATTTTTGTTTTTGTGATGCATTTTTGTACATCTATTAAAACTTTGAGTAGAGTCCAGCGATGGTCTCTTCGTATGTTTATTACACAAATGCAAATCTTCTGGCTAATGCCAATAAAGTATCTTTGTTGTAACAAAATTAGTAAATCATGACAATTAGCCAACAGATGAAATAAAAGTATTTTGTTCTAATGGGAGTCAACATATATCATTCCTTTCAACTTATGAAAGGGAAAGGATATTGGTAGACTGTTAATACAACCATGTGTAAAATAACTTGTGATTTTCAGTAAAAAAATGCTTTTAATTTCTATAAGAATCCACAAGAGTAAACTGAAAATATAATTTGGTATTAGTGTACACTGTCTAAACCTGACATGTCTTTTTTTTTTAAATCTGACATTTCTTATTGTAGTTTATATTGTCTTCTGTTTGTTTACAGTCCTAGTTTAAATAGACAAGCATTTTTATTATGAATAAATCATTATATCATATTTAATGGTTATTAGTAATAATTCAATTGTAAAAGCAGTAGATCCATTTTGTAACAAATCCAATGTTATAAGTATAGAGAAACAAATAATATACTTAATTATTTTAAAGTATATATGTACTTAAAATAATTTACTTAATTTAAGTAAAAACAAATATTATACTTAATTTGCTTTTTACTTATATAACGGTACTGTATGGGCTTCTTGAACATAGTGAACTTTAGAACTTAAAACTTTCTCCTAAATGTGGTATATATACACAACGGAATACTATCCAGGCTTCAAAAAGCAGGAAACAACACTGGAAATTAATTTTTACAACTATTTAGAAATATAAATATAATTTATAAATATAAATATAATTTTAAACTATTTATAAATATAACAAATAGTTTAAAAAATTAAATGTCATTTGCAACAACCTAGAGGGCATTTGCTAAGTGAGATAAGCTAGGCACAAAGGGACAAATATTGTATGATCTCACATATAAGTGGCATGTAAAAAATTGGAACTCACAGAAGTAGAGGGTGAATAGTGCTTACCAAATGCTCATGGTGGTTGGGAGGTAGAGAGAAAAAGGGGAGATGTTGGTCAGTGTATAAAGTTCCAGTTGGACAGGAGGAATAAATTCTGGTAATCTTTTACACAGTATGATGACCATAGTTAATAATAATGTATTTTATACTTCAAAATGGCTAAAAGAAGATTTTAAATGTTCTCACCAGAAATAAATGATAATATTTGTGGTGGCAGATATGTTAATTACTCTGATTTGAGCATTCCACATAAATACATGCATCAAAACATCACACTGTACCCCATAAATATATGTAATTATAATGTTAATTGAAAACTAAAAAATACCCTCAAAAAGCACAAAAGTTGTACCATCTTCCAAGCATACTCACTTCAACCATTACAAAAGAAAGTCTGGCTTCAGATATTATTTCATAATTTGACAAATCACTTCTTAAATAATCCAAAATTCTTGAATTTTCAGATAAACTAATAAATTTACATAATGATTTTTAAAATGCTCTTTCATTGTCAAAACTTTCATAATCTTACTTTCCTCTTTAACAGGACTACCAAAAGAAAATCTATCAGAAGTTTTAACCGGATTGCTGTATCTGAGAAAAAGAACATTTGGGTCTCTTATTTTTCCTGAGAAATTACTTGGTGATTGCTAAGTAAACAAAAAGTGTGATAAGTAACATTACTATTTTAATACTGATATTAATATAAAGTAGCAACCATATTACATAATACTCATTTCTGACCGTAGAAGAGATAGCAGCTCATAACTATATTAATAATTATATAAAATTAGTATATATCTATCCACTTCAAATTTCTGAGCTGTATGAGTTTTATATTAGTATGTAATTGAAAAATTATGGCTGAGTAATCCTAAATTGAGGTTGGTACAACTCTTTAACTGGAGGTGGCATGATGTGATGGAAAGAGTCCTGAAGTCAAAAGAGTTTAGTAGTTCTTGCCCTGGCTGTTACACGTAGCTGTATTTTCTTGGTTAAGTACTTTCTCTTAGGCTCAATGTCTTCCATCAGGTGTGGATCTTATCTGTCCTTCTTAACTTACAACAGTTGTTGCAAGGATTTAACGAGGTAACATTTACTACTATTTTGTGAGATAGTGAAGTAACAGAAGAATTTGCTCTTGAGCTTTATTACTGAAACTATTCTAGAATCCCAAATAAAACCCATTGTCTATTTTAACATAGGTTTTATCATTTCAAAGTTCTGCAGTTTTCACAAAATGTTGTAAATCCTAACATTGCTTATTAGGTAGTCTATTGTTTGTGGTTTATAATTTCATGCACACAGGTTTCTATAGCAGCCTTATTCACAATTGCCAAAACTTGGAAGCAACCAAAATGTGCATTGACACGAGTGTATACTTAAGCTGTGGCACATCCAGATAATGAAATATTATTGACTACTAAAAAGAAATGAGCTCTCAAGCCATGAAAACATGGCTAGTGATACAGTTTGGATATTTGTCCCTGCCCAAATCTCATGTCGAATTGTAATCCCCAGTACTGGAGGGGGGGCCTGCTGGGAGGTTATTAGATCATGAGGGTGGATTTCTCGTGAAAGGTTTAGCACCATCCTCTTGGTGCTATCCTGGTGACAGTGAGTGAGTTCTCATGAGACCTGGTTGTTTAAAAGTGGGTGGCACCTCCCTTCTCTCTCTCTCTTGCTCCTGCTTTTGCCATGTGATATGCCTACTCCCCCTTTGCCTTCTGCCGTGACTGGAAGCTTCCTGAGGCCTCCCCAGAAGCAGACGCTGGTATGCTCCCTGTAAATCCTGTAGAACTGTGAGCCAATTAAACCCCTTTTCTTAAAATAACCTAGTCTCAGGTATTTCTTCATAGCAGTGCAAGAACGGCCTAATACAGACATGGAGAAAACTTCAATGCATATTACTAAGTGAAAGAAGCCAGTTTGAAAGGTTCCATAATGTATGATTCCAACTGCAGTATATGACATTCGGGAAAAGGCAAAGGCCTGGAGACAGTACGATCAGTGGTTGCCAGTGGCTGGAGAGGGAGAGATTAAAGGGCAAAGTAGAGAGAATTTTTAGGGCAGTGAAACTATTCTATATGACACTATAATAATGGGGGACTCATCATTACACATTTGTCCAAACCCATAGAATGTACAAGACCAAGAGGAACCCTAATGTAAACTATGGGCTTTCGGGTGATAGTGATGTCTCAATGTAGGTTAATCAACTAACAAATGTACAACTCTGCTGGGGTGATAATAGGGTAGGCTATGCATGTGTGAGACCAAGCAGGATATGCAAAATCTTTGTATCTTCTTTTCAATTTTGCTGTGAATTTAAAACTGCTTTAAAAATTGTCTATTGGCTGGGCACGGTGGCTCACGCCTGCAATCCCAGCACTTTGGGAGGCCGAGGCGGGCGGATCACGAGGTCAGGAGATCGAGACCATCCTGGCCAACATGGTGAAACCCCATCTCTATTTAAAATACAAAAATTAATTGGGTGTGATGGGGCTTACATGTAATCCCAGCTACTCGGGAGGCTGAGGCACTCGAACGTCAGCCTTGAACCCAGGAGTTGGAGGTTGCAGTGAGACGAGATCGCACCACTGCACCCCAGCCTGGCGACAGAGTGAGGCTCAGTCTCAAAACAAACAAAAAAACAAAAAAGTATGTTGACTTCATCAAAAATATTCTTAATTCATAAGTGAATATGTTATGGGAGTTTTTTCTCTTATTACATACTTTTCTACAATATGCTAATATTTGATCATCAGAAATGTGTCTACTAAAATGGAAATGATGGTGTATATACTTTATTTCTATTGGTATTTATATTTAATGAAACCACTTTAAAGTTGTCAATCAAGTGGCCTATAATGGTGAGTTGTGAAAAGACAAGGATCCAGATAAAGGTGTGTTGTCCCCCGAACCCCCTGTTCCCCACCCGCCCCCAATCCCTTGTGCTGTTTTAAAAGATTTGATTCATGAAAGACTGACAGGCACACTTGGCCTGGACTCTGTGTGCAGTTACTGTTTTAGGTGCTTCGGTGTCCCTGACTGAAGGAGCCTTAGAAGGACAGAACAGGCCTCTCAGAACTTGAGGACTTGACCAGCTCCGCAGCGATGGAGTCGAGGTCGGAGTGCGCCTCTCCTAGAATCCGTCCTGGGCTCAGCTCCACGGGGCCTGTCTGCGCCGTCCTGTTACCTGTCCTTTTTGACTCCTAGGTTGAGCCCATAGATCCTCATCAAAACACTGTGCTGCACTTTCGCCACGTTTCCCACGCGGCACCCCGGTGGATTTTCCCGAGCTCTGTCATGGGGCACGGTTCCCATCCCTCGTCTCTAGCCAGCGCCCTGAGAGGCCTCTCCTCTAGCCCCAGAGGAGCCGGGGGCCACTGTCCCTTTATTCTACGGGAGAACAAACCATTTCATCTCTCTGGGGAGAGGGTTCAGGATACCGCGGACAAGTCCAGACGCACAACTCTCTTCTCTGCTTTTCGCAGGAACCCTTACACTAGCGCTGGGTCAAAGAAGCAGGTCTCGCCGTGGCCCCGCCGCAGCAAAGCCCTGCTGCTTACAAATCATGACTTCTGAGGCGGGCAAGGACGCCACGCCCAACTCCGTAAATGGCAGGTTTGCCCATGCGCGCGTCCTTTTGGTGGGCGCAGACCCAGCGCGCATGCGCAGACCAAGCACGCCGGCTCTAGCGGTGGTGGTCTTTGCTAGGTCTGGAGGTAGAGCAGATGCTGAGGCGTTCAAAGGAAGGCGGTGCCTGTGGACAAGCAGGCTTGCACAGGATCTGGCCCGTGCCGACCAGGGCGCCAGGACCCTGAAAGTCTCGTCCCAGTAAGCTTCCCCTGGCATCTTGCACTTAACAATTGTTTTTTTAAGAGTCTCCTTATCCCACTTTAATAGCAGCTACCTCAGTTCCGGAGCATATTCTCTTCCCACTTCCCTCTGGGCTCTTCCGCATATGTTTCTTGAAGGTAAAGGGGATGATTAATGATTGAGAGCCCATTCAGCAACCCATGTCCCAGCTGTGTTTTCAGAGAGTGTGGCAGCACATCTCCAAGGGAAACTTATAAGAAAGAAGAAAAGTACGCAGTCTAGATGTAAAGAAAAAAAGGTATTCAGCAGAATCACTCCTCCTGTCCTCTTCTGGCTCTGTCTCATTCCATAAAACCTTACCTTTAAATTTTAACCCTAATGTCAAATGAGTGTCATGAATTCAATCATAGAGATACACTTAAAAGATTTGAAGGAATCAAATGTGTAGCCAATGAGTGCAATTTATATCAAAGATACATGGTTCCAAGGATTCTGAAGTAGTATACACATAGGGTAAAGGAGAAAAGGTTCTCCTTTATGAGGTCGGTCCTGGGAAGTGACCAGTACATCATCTTTATATTACATCGAACGAAATGGAGCTATGGTTAATGTCTTAGTCTGTTTGTGCTGCTATGACAAAATTCCTTGAGACTGGATAATTTATAAACAATAGAAATTTATTTCTTACAGTTCTAGAGGCTGGGAATTCCAAGATCAAGGTGCCAGCAGTTTTGGTGTCTGCTGAGAGCCCAGTGTCTGCTTTCAAGATGATGTCTTAAACACTGTGTCCTCTAGAGGGGACAAATACTGTATCCTCACATGACAGACAGAAAGAAAGAGTTAAAAGGGCCAAGATAGTTATCTCCAGACCTTCTATAAGGCAGTAATCTCATCCATGAGGGCAGAGCCTTCATAGCCTAATCACCTCCAAAAGGCCCCTCTTAATACTGCTGGGTTGGGAAGTGAGTTTCAACATAAACTTTGGAGGAGATGCATTCAAACCCTAGCAGTTAAGAAGCTTGAAAATTATTATGCTTCTAAGTGGCTAAGTAGGAATTTGAATCTACTATATCATTTTCATTCTGTTACTAAGATTATCAATGGAAATAGTAAATATATTAAGGAGGCATACAATATGGAGAATTTTTCTCTTATAATGTTTGTACATGACAGAAAAAATAATTTAAAAACTTTAATAATAACTCATTAAATAGACACATTTTCTGAAGATTTAAAACTTAAAAATCAGGAGGCAAAGATATAATAATAGAATATGTGTCAGAGAGTGAATGTACAAATAGACAATGGCCAGACCATGTATGAAAGTAGAACTCTGACCCACAGCCTCTGCAGCCATCAGCCCAGAATGGTCAGTGACTGCCAGTATTTTGCCTCACTCCAACCAGAACCAACCAGAGAAAACCAAATAGATCCTCAAACCAATCACATAAGTTGCCCCATTTCTAGTCAGCCAACAACCCCCAATCAGAGCAAACCAGAAGCCTTTTCTTTTTTTCACCATTAAAGTTTTTTCATTTTCCTTTTTGCCTTTGAGTCTCTGTCAGATGCAAGTAATGATGGCTGACTCCCTTGCTATGCAAACTCTGAAAAAATAGGTTCTGGTTATTCTCATTTGGGTTATCTTTATGTGAACAGGTTCCCTAGACCAACAGCAAGATTTGGTCTATACCGCCTATTACTGCAGACCCCATCTTTCAACCAGTGGTTCCCGTGGAGACTCCTTGCACCTTGCTTTTCATGGCTTGTTGGGTCTTTGCTGATGTGACTAAGTCAGCACAAGTCTGCATTATGCTTTATGTGTGTGTGTTCAGTTCCTCTACTATTTTTTCTTCGATTTTCTTGGTTTCTTAATTTGGTATCTGGATTTTGCTACTGAGTCTCATTTGTTTGGCATCTTTGGTGAAATCAGGCCATTCTCTTTTGTCCCTTCTTGCTCTATTTTTGGGCTTTCATTTTGCATTGTGCTATCTAAAGTGTTGTTTGTCATGAGAAGGAGAATCACAAGATAAAACATATCCAGTGTTTTATAAGCCTGGTATTTAAGCTGGTCTCACAGACCAGTGAATGTACCAGGCTGGCATCCTGTTTGGACAGACTTTGTTTTTGGTCACCAAAAAAACTGGATGAGGTGTCAATTTTTTTGTCCTGAGATCTTGAATTTGAGTTCTGTTTCTGATTTTCCACCTGGCAGGGGATTGGGAGTGGGGCACATTGTAGAATCTGTGTTTGGAGCAGGTCAACCATCAGATCGGGTACCTGAGGTACAAAGTGTCCAAGCATCACTTTTGTCAACATGAGAATCACAAATGTATAAATTAAGAAAGGAGACTTTATTTTTTATAAAAGGTTGCAGCCTATAAGGTGGCCGGCCATTCTGACAGGCTGGGAAGCCTAGCCTTTAGCAAAGACTGTTAGCAGGCACTTTGAAGGAGGAAGTGTTGGGGCAGGAACTTTATGTTGCACGGGTTGGCTAAAGATTACATATTTAACAGGTTATAGGAAGAGCTGTGAATAATCATAAAAGAGGTCACATGAATGATGAGCATACATGCATGCTACATGCATTCCATATTCACTTTGCATTTAAATGCATTACAGTTAGGCCCATAAGTCAAAAGGTGAAGCAGGGATATAAAGGCACTCAAGCACAGAGCCTCTGTAAACTGGCCAGAGCCAGTCTATGGTCAGTGATCTCTTATCAGAAGAAAGTTACTGAAATCAGTCTCTTGTCCAATCAAAGCAGAGGTTATGGCTTGTGGAACAGAGGGGTCAGTTATTCAGTGTCTGTTGGCTGGTGAAATGCAATTGTTTGAATATTGCTTGTCTTGAGGTCAGTGCTTGTTTAGCTGCTAGAGGAAAAAAAAACCTCATGACAGAACAGAGTTATTCTTTAGGTGTAGGGGTGTGTCACTTAACCCTTGCCTGGCATGACTCTGTAGCAATAAGATACCCAATTAAAAACAGGACATAAATATCTTATTGCTTAGGTGTCTTATCCAATTTGATATCTTATTGCTACAAAGAACCCATTATGTCATTCTTATGATCTCTATTTTGACATTAATGCTGATCAGTTATTGTGTCTGCACCACAAAAGGGAGGCGGTATAATGAGGCATGTTGAGCCTCCTGTACTGTCATGGCTGGGAGCCCAGTTTTTAAGGTTTTTCTGGGGTCCCCTTGGGTCCATTCAGTCAGTTGTGGAGATTAGGATTTCATTTTTAGTCCTCACTTTAGACTGACTGCTGCCAACTGTTATGGATGGAATAATCTAAATCAAAATTCTCTCCTCCTCCAGGAAAAGCTGCTGCTTCTTACATGTACACTTTTAAACCACGGAGGAGAAAACACTCATGGTACAAAACTGAAGCTAAAATGTGTCCCAGGCAGAGAGAATAACATGTGTGAGACCCCTGAGATCACAAATGGTTTGTGGCATGAGCACAAATGAGCAAGGGAGAATGGTTTAAAGATATACTCAGAACATAGATCATGTAGAAGCTTAAATATACTTGCTAAGAATTTTTCATTTTTCTCCATGAAGAAACAATGTAGAGTTTTAAGCAAGGAGAGTGACACAATTTGATTCATGTTTTGAAAGAAGTATCTATTTAATAATTATCTAGAAGGTTTCTTCTCTCAGTTAGGCACAGCCTGGTCCTATAAGATAAGCAGACATCAAGAGCTCAATAAATTATCTGAAAAATATTCCAAACCAGCTCTATCTCTTCTGTGTTATTTCAAGGCCGTGTGTTACAGGGCTTGGCGCAATTGCTCTATGTTACATCAGGCTAATGTTTATATTTTGAGTTGTAGGAAGTGAAGATCTATTGGAAAGTTTTCACCAAAGTTTTTAATAAAGTTATTGCTGACAGCAGTGTGGAGGATGGGCAAGAGTAGTCATAAAAGTTGCGGCTCAGTGATCATTTAGATGTCTCTTGCAATAGTTTAAGGAACAAAGAAGAGCCTAGACTAAGGCAACAGGAATGGGAGACAAGGGGAAAAGGGAAAAGATAAAAAAACAGCTCATTAGTGATAGAAGGCAATAACCCTTCTATATGTCTGTGTACCTCTCACATAAATGTAGATCTCCTGGGCTCTAGGTTCTGATGGGCGGTCCTATAGGATAGAGGTGTTATCTTCCCAAAGAGAAGGAACAGACATCTGGTGGAAGCAGGTTTGAGAAAGAATGCGAGGAGAAAAACTAGAAAAATCATTCCACACAACTCCATTAAGGAATTTTTGTGCTAAGAGAAAATGAGATCTAGGCAGCAGCTGTGCGTCTGTGTGTGTGTGTGTGTGTGTGCGCGTGTGTGCATAAGCACACTATAAAGCACTGAGAAATTATAGTATCTGTTGAATAAAGGAAAAAGAAAACATCGTATTGAAATCAGAAAAGGGAGAATTAGTGGAGCAATATCCTTCAGAACTTAAGAGGTGATGACCTGTTTCCCAAGGGTTGGCCTACTTAGGAGCAGGAGCATTTCATCCACAGTAAGAGGAAAAAAGGAACAATGGGCAAGGTGCAGGCAAGAGGGTCAGTGTGGTCCAGGAAGCCTGTGTAAGTTGCCTTCTGCTGGCTTTTTGCGTCAGTGAAATACAAAGTCATCAGAGTAGGAGATAGGTAGATAGAGAAGATAAGAAATAGTGATCCGCAAGGATGGAAGTGTCAGTGGATCAAGGAACTATCATTATAGCCAAGTGACATTTAAACTCAGTAGAGGAAAAATTTCACAAAATATACACACATCAGATATTTTCAACGACTCACCTAGAATTTAATTATATTGTAAATGGAGCTTTGAAAGATTGACTAGTACAATAGCCTTTATTCAGAAATGCTCTACTTTGAAGAGAAACAGAGAAACCTTCAATTGGCATTTAGTACTAATATTTTCACATTTTTCAATCACACTGACCAGAAGTAGATAAAAATTGTTTATAGCTGGATGGTCCTGAGAAATGGGGGTAAATGTCACAGTAGGGCTCAATTCACCTCTGAGGTATGTATGAATGAAAGAATTAATGGATAAAGGCCCTTGGGGGACTATTTTTAAGGAAAATTCAGAAAGAAAGGTAATAATTTTGGTGTAGAAATATCTCACAATTTTGCTATTTTTAATTTTCAATTTTCTTAAGTAGGACTCAATTTTAATCTTCGCAAAATCTACAGGGTATACTAAAAACACATTCTTTAATTTGAAAAAGGAATTATACATTTTCAAGTAATTCAAAAAAGCTACTAATATTATAACAAAAGAGATATAATCTTTAGGTGTATGAGATTTCTGTTCCTGTACTTCCCAAGAACAGTTTCTTTATACTAAACTTTCAGGAAAATTTTGTATATGAGTATTAATGTTAATTATAGAAGTAGGAAAATTGATGGAAAAAAGACAAAAATAGTAACCATAAACAAATGTGAAAAACAGCCATTTATGACTGTAAACACACATACCTCATTGCCACTTTTATTCAGTATCTATTTTTTTCATAATTCTTGCTTGGATACTCTAACAGTTGATATTGAAATTAAGCCCTGATTTGTAGTTCTTACCAATTTTCTTGTTTTTTTTTTTTTTTTGAGACTGAGTCTTGTTCTGTCGCCCAGGCTGGAGTGCAGTGGCATGATCTCGGCTCACTGCAAGCTCCGCCTCCCGGTTCACGCCATTCTCCTGCCTCAGCCTCCCAAGTAGCTGGGATTACAGGCACCCGCCACCACACCTGGCTAATTTTTTTCTATTTTTAGTAGAGATGGGGTTTCACCATGTTAGCCAGGATAGTCTCCATCTCCTGACCTCGTGATCTGCCCACCTTGGCCTCCCAAAGTGCTGGGATGACAGGTGTGAGCCACCGTGCCTGGCTGCCAGTTTTCGTTATGTAAATACTCCCATTTCTGAGTGTAAGCTTCCAAAAGTTCTTGTATATTTAGCAATCTGACCCTGGGTGTGCTATGAGTCACCTCCAGCCCACCACTGTTTGAATGGTATTTAAAGTGAAGGTACAGAAGCTATTTAAAAGGTCACAGAAGTAACCTAGGCAAGTGATAAAGAGACTAAATTAAGGTAGCAGAAATAGGAGAGACTATTTCCAAATAGAATAGATGGAAGGGAGCTCCTGAGGGAAATAATCCTTCCATATGTCTTTATATACCTCATATGGATGTTGGACTGCTGTGTTCTGATGACTTGTTCTGTCAGGCAGAGGGTATATTGCCCTAAACATAGTGGATTTTTAAAAAGCAATTATCCAAATAAAAGACTTATCCTGGAAGAGGAAATGAAGGATTGAATTATAAGCACTGTGCACTTAGGTTACACTAAATTTATAGAAAAACATTTTTCTTTCTTCAGTAATAAATTGACCTTAGCATACTGTCATTTTTTTTACTTTATAAACTTAAGTTTTTTGACATTTTGACTGTTTTGTAATAACACTTAGCTTAAAATATACATTGTACAGCCGAACAAAAATATTTTCTTTTTTTACATCCTCATTCTACAAGCTTTTTTCTATTTTTATTTTTTTTAAACTTTCTTGTTAATGTGCACATTAGCCCAGGCCTACAGAGGGTCAGGATCATCAAGACATCCAAGACATCAGCAGGCCACAGAAATTTTTCAGCTCCATTACAATCATATGGGCCTGTAATTGTATATGCAGTCCCTTGTTGACTGAAATGTCATGAGGCACGTGATTGTATTTTTTTGATTTACATACTAAATATATGAGTTCGTGTGTCGGTACACTAACATATCATGTCTATTCTAGAGCATATAAAATTATTTTCAAGGGAAGATGTAAAAATAGGTATGAAGAAGTTCTGGTACTTTTTTCCCCACCCAGCAGATCACTGTTTTTTTTTTTTTTGTTTTTTTTTTTTTTTTTATCACTTGAGTGTTATGCACTGCTCTTTAAAGATTCCTGCTCTCAGGAGCACCTAAGGGTAGAATAGGAACTGGCACGCTCCCATGGCCAGGACGCTGCCTTCTGGAGGTGCTTATGGAGATGGACTGGAGTCTGGGGTCTTGGAAAGTAGGCATGTTTGATGGGCCAGTTTTACATTAAGTTCTGTAGTCTCATTGCATCTGGCACCCTCAAATTTCTTATTAAATACTACAGCCTGGTTTTTAGCTTTGTTCCATAGTAGGAAAAGTTTGAGCATAGGAAAAGTTCTGTGCCCAAAATTGCATCCAAGAATTCAAAAGGCAAATAGAAACAGAGGTTATTTTTCATATACTTATCCGTTCATTTGACATACATTTACTGAGCACTTAATGTGCCAAGCCCTGTTCTGCGAGTTGAGAAGTAGCCTGGAGTAAAGCATACAAAAATGGCTGCCTTCTCAGAGCTTATATTATTGTGTCAGGACCAGCATTCCAGGAAAGGGGAGCAATAAGGTCAGGGTCCCTGAGACAGGAACATCCCTAGTGTGCTGGGAAATAAATAAATCACTGTGGCTGAAGCAATTTGAGTTTGGGTAAGAAGAACTTGAGGTCAGAAAAGTAAAAGTGGAGGCAGGGCATATGGGATTGGGGTCGCAGATTGCATAGTGCCATGTGGATCAGTATAAGAAATTTAGCTCTTACTGTTAGGAATTTGAGAAATGATTGGAGAGTTTTTTGCAAATAAGTAACTTCATCAGACAGTATGTTAACTGGATAATTCAGGTGGCTAGGTTGAGAATAGACCAGGGCAAGGGCAGTGTATGAGGGCAGAAGCATGAAGATCAGTCAGGATTCTAGTGTAAAATATTAAAGAAAGGTAATGCAAATGAGACAGATGATGTTGGTCTGGGATACATTGACAGGAGTGGTCAAATTCTGTTTATATTTTGGAAATAGTGCAGTCAGGGTTTGCTAACTGATTAGATGTGGCCTTTGAGAAAGAGAAGAGTCAAGGATGACATCAAAGCTTTTGCCTTGATCAACTGGAAGAATAGGGTTACTCGATCTCAAGTAGGAAAGACAGTAAGAGAGTGGAATGTGAGGAGACCAGTTTAGACATGTTAAGGGTGAGATGTTTATTGAGTCTATAATATAAACAACCCAAATTCAGGTATTGAATAGGCAAGTGGACATACCAGTTGGGAGTTCAGGAGAGGAACCAGACTAGAACTCTCAATTTGAGTGTCAGTAGCATATAGATGCCATTTAAAGTCATAAGACTGTGATAACCCAGCAGGGAATACAGATACGATAAAAAAATTCTGAATATATTTTGTATTTACAATTGACAGGATTTGCTGGCTGTCAAAATGTAGGTATAAAAGATAAAATTTGAGAATGCCTCCAAGGATTTATAAAGAATAAAAAAAGCTGTTGGTGGATTGATTCTGGGGCTCTCCAATAATTGAAGATAAAGAGGAGCCAACAAATTGGATTGAAAAAAATGTTTAAAGAGGTAGGAATCAAACGAGACAAGTGTGGTATCTTGGAAGCCAAACCAAAAAAATAAAAAGTGTTTCAAGGAGTTAGCAATGGTCAGCTGTGTCAAATGCTGCTGTATTTACATGAAAACTCAGAAATGACCATTAGCTTTCATGTGATAGACATCATCATCAATCTGGCTTAAAAGTAGTGTCATTTGAGTGATGGGAGCAAAAAGGTGATGATGGGAACTGCTTTAAGTGAGAACAGAGGGAGAAAAATTGTAGCAGAGATTATAACATTTTAGACAATCCTACTGAGGAATTTTGCCACAAAAGAGAGCAATTGCGGTGATGGTTTCAGGGGGAGATGTGGTCAATCTTCCTGTTTGTTTTCTTAGTAGGAGGCAAATACTAGTATGTATTTAAGCTAGTAAGAATTGGTTAACAGAGAGGGAAACTTTAAAGATACATATGAAAGCAGGGAAGAAGGATTTACTGAATAATGTTTTTGGATAGGCTAGAGAGGATGGGGTCTAGTACATGCAAGAATGGTGCTGGCCTTTGCTAGGAACATGAACATATCATCTACATGAACAAGAGAAAGGTAAAGTTTTTTTTTTTTTTTTTTTTCAAGGTGCAGGTAAGTGGGTAGATATCGTGGGAGCTGGTACAGTTTCTCTTTTGATTGGATCTTTTTCTCAATGGATCAGGAAAAAGGGCCATGAGCCAAGGAGGTGTGAAGAGAGAGGAAGAATAACAGACCTTTTGAGGTGGATTTTCCTGAACTGGAAATGAAAGATGATGGCAGGACTGTGTTTTTTCCTTTGGTCACATTTTGTGGCTTAGGGCAGAGCAAAGAGTTTAGATTTAATGAGGGTTTTGGTTTAGGCACAGATAGGTAAGAAAAGGAATGGGGAAAAACTTAGTGAAGGTATCTGCATGGGAGTGATTATGACGATTGACCGTGGAATTTAGTTAAGTAGTGAAGTGAGGACACAGGGTGTGGGGGTCCAGGCCAGGGAAAGGATATGAGACTAATGGACTGTAGGTGCAGTGAGTTAGATTTTCAAAGGACTTTTGGAGTTTTGTGACCAGACAAAGTGAGCTGGAATATGAGAAGTGGTGTTAAAAAGTGTGTATGAAATTGAGATTATTGAGGAATTGCAGTTATTATAAAGACAATTTGTCGCATGTGGCCAGGGAGGTGAGAGGCTGGGAGTAGGTTGGAGGGAAGATCACTGGAAGAGATCCACCCCTCCCCATCCCCATCACAAGGAAGGTAGGCATTAGTTTGCAAGAGTTCAAGCCCTTAGATCTGCTTTTGAAGGAGAAGAGGCTATTTGTAAGAAAGCTGGTAAGTTTCTATTCCAAGGTTCATGATCTAATAGGAAGACTGCAGGTGTGGCCGTCAGGCCCAAGTCCTAGGTGAGAATGCAGGTCTGCGAGCCCCTAGGACCGGACCATAACGACCTTAACAGCCATAACGGCCGTAACTGCCATAACGGCCGGCTGCGCGAGGCCCTTCCAGCATTTCCACTTTCGTCAGGTACTGGAGAGGGCTGCCGGCCGGATGCCAGGGCAGAGGGGCAGGGCGGACGGCTAGGAGTTCAAGAAACATCCTGGTCTGAGGGAAAGGCTGCAGCCTGCACCGCCATGAATAAGCTTTTCAGCTTCTGGAAGAGGAAGAATGAGACCCGCAGCCAGGGCTACAACCTTCGAGAAAAGGATTTAAAGAAACTTCACAGAGCTGCTTCAGTCGGGGATTTGAAGAAGCTGAAGGAATACCTTCAGATCAAGAAATATGATGTAAATATGCAGGACAAAAAATACAGGTGACCAGACTGAAGAGCCAGCGCGGGAGGACGGGTTGGGGCCTGGGTCGTTCAACCAGAAATAAGACAAGTGGGGGCTGTTTGACACTGATTGTCACTCCGGGTTTCCCAAAGAAGAGAGATTGTCTGGTAACCATTGGCAGAGGGTCCCACTCCAACTTTCGGCTTTTTATTTAATTTAAAAAAAAAATGCTGGGCCGGGCGTGGTTGCTCACGTCTGTAATCCTAGCACTCTGGGAGGCCGAGGCGGGTGGGTCTCCTGAGGTCAGGAGTTTGAGACCAGCCTGGCCAACATGGCGAAACCCCGTCTCTAACCAAAAATGCAAAAATTAGTGGGGCGTGGTGGCGGACGCCTGTAATCCCAGCTACTCAGGAGGCTGAGGTAGGAGAATCACTTGAACCCGGAAGGCGGAGGTTGCAGTGAGCCGAGATCGGGCCACTGCATTCCAGCCTGAGTAACAGAGCAAGACTCATCTCAAAAAAAAAAAAAAAAATTGCTTGCTTGAATATTTTCTACCCTTCCTGAATCCATCCTCTCCTCTGACTGGCTTAGTCTCCACTGGCAGTCCATCTTTTCCCCACCTTACTGTTTTGCTTCTTGGTAATAGATCGTCCCCAGGCACTAAGATGTACAATTTTGCTAATGGGAGAATAGGAAAAGAGTAGAGACGACCCCCTGGAACATTGGTTAGTTAGATTTTAACACTTGGAAACATCAAAACAAGTAACTTTTAAATTTTTTGAAGAAGAAGCTTGCTGAGTTTATTGATACTTAACAAACTTATTTGGACAGAGGATGATTTTTTTTCTCCCTTCATTGCTACCCATTACTTATCACCAATTTTCTTAAATCTGATTCCATTTTCTCACCAAATATATGCTGCAAATATGTGTAACAACTGTATAAACGTGTCAGATTCTGGGATAATATGATGAATAAGCCGTACTATTCATTAACCACACTCATTACCATTGAACTTGTCAAGTCACAAAGGTCCCTTGTAGCCCCCTGGGGCCTTGATGCAGCACAATCAGCTATATGAACTCTGTTAAACCACTGTCCTTACTTTGGTTACAATTTAAAAGAGACTTTGAGAATCTCCAAACTCAGAGTTGCTGTTGAGCTGGGGTTAACAAGCAGAGGGACTCCCCAGATAGCTTCATACCCAGTTTAGCTTTATAACAAGTGTAGTTTTAGGCTCTGTCTTGGCATACTTGAGAGCACAATGGCTGCTTCAAAACAGGCATTTGAACTCGCTGTTTAATCAAATTCTTCTTTAATCTAAAGTGAGTTTCTCATAGAGAGCATATACACTTAACCCTTGAACAATGTAGGGGTTGGGGTGGGGAGTCAACCCCCTGTGAAGTAAAAATTTGCTAATAACTTTTGACTCCCCCAGAACTTAACTATAAATAGCCTACTATTGATTGGAAGTGTTACCAACAGCATAAACAGTTAACATATATTTTGTATGTAATATGTGTTATCCACTATATTCTTACAATAAAGTTAGCAAAAGAAAAAAATGTTATTAGGAAAATTATAAGGAAGAGAAAATATATTTACTGTTAAGTTGAAGTGGATCATCATAAAGTTCTTCATCCTGTTTTCTTCACATTGAGTAGATGGAGGAGGAGGAAGAAGAGGGGTTGATCACAGTGTCTCTGGTATTTTTTGGTAGTAAATGATAAAATAGACTGATATCTACATATATTTTATGCATTCATGGCATACGTAACCTTTTCTTAATTTTTCAATATTTTTAGGCTACATGTTTCATCTGCTAGTTTTTTCAAATTGTTGCAAATTTCCAAAATTTTTCTTATATAGCTATTGAAAAAAATCTATGTATAAGTGAACCTACACAGTTCAAACACCTGCTGTTCAAGAGTCAACTGTAGTTGCATCTTGTGTTTTATCTATTCAGCCACTGTTTGATTACAGAGCTTAATCTATTTACACTTAAAGTATTTATAGATAGGGAAAGTTTTACTATTGCTATTTTGTTAGCTTTCATGTTACTCTTATAGTTCCTTTGTCTTTTTCTTTCTTACTGTCTTCCTTTGTATTTTCTTGATTTTGTGCTTTGATACTGATGTGCTTTGGTTCCTTTCTTTCTTTTTTGTGTAACTTCTACAGATTTTTTTTTGTGGTTACTTTGGGACTTACATAAAATAGCTCATAGCAGTTTATTTTAAGTTGCTAACAATTGAAGTTCAATAGCATATAAAAATTCTAAATTTTATCTCCCCCCAAACTTTGTTGTTGTCATAATTAACATGTATTCATATTGTTTATGGGGAAGCTGGGGTGCTGGCAAGCCACCTCCTTTGCTCTCTTGGGTAAAGCTGGGAGGTAGTGGGTCTCTTTCTTATCATATGGCACTGTGTTGGAGGCAGAATCTTCAGCAAGAGGGTGTTCTGAATCTCTCTATTAGTTCTAGTGCCTCTGGTTTTGTATTCGCTCAGGGTGCAGGAGACTTCCAATTAGTTTCTGAGTTTTCACAAAGGGAGTTTGTCCTTACGCTGTTGCTGAATTGGTGTGTTTGTTGTGAGGAAGGGTACTTCGGGGTTTCCTACTCTGTCATATTGCTGACATCACTCTGGTTAATCTTTTTAATGTGGATCACTTATGAAAAATTTCCTCAATTACATAATATCTTCAAACAAACCCATTAACAACCACTTGCTGCGAAAATTAATACATATTAAGAAACAAAGTTAGGTGTTTGGCATTAGTAACAGTAAATATGTACTATCAGTGGCTGCCTTAAAATATTTTTGGGAGTTTTCAAGTCATAGGGTATGAAAAGCATCATCTTTCATCACAGGTGGGTAAGTGAAAACTATACAGTTAGGAAAAGGATTTGTATTTAGCTTATTGATAGTATTATGTCTTTTTTTTTTTTTTAACAAAAACAGTGTTGTCCAATCTTCTAGATGGCTTTTATCCTACACCACTCCGCTGAATGACTTTATAAGGTAATCGATAACTTCAATGTGACTTCATTCAGGGGTCAGTTTTTAGTCTTACCTTGCTGGCCTGTCAGCAAAGTATTTTATTTGCCATATCAGTGGTATTTGAAATATTGTCTTTCAGAACACTGGGGCCATCTGGCATTTCTCCTAATTCTGTGGACACTTCTTTTGAGACTCTTTTGCTGGTTTCTCTTCATCTTCCTGACTTGTAAACACGTAAGGAATTCCACCAGAAATGATTCTCTCTCTACTTTTATCTTCACTCTCCTGGTGAAGAGAGATTAGCTTTAAATATATATATTCCAGTGCCTTCCAACTTTTAATCTCCAGCCAACCAGACCTCTTGCTGCCTATATTTATACTTAGATATATAATATTCACTGGTGTGCTAATACATGTTTAATAACAGGCCCTTAATGGGTAGGGGAGGGAAAGAGGGAAAACCCTGATTCATACAGTTTATAAATTGTGGCCAATTTTAAGCTACCAATGGGATATCAACTGGCTTGCAAAATTCCTGAAAATTTAACAGTTAGCTTGTAAGAACCACTAGCTCCATCACATCACTACTTAGCTTTCTCAAACTGAGGTCTCAAACATTCCCAAACTAAGATCCTGTTATTCTACTTCTGACCTGCCTTTTCTTTTTCGATAAATGCCAAATGTTGTCTTTCAATTGCTTAAGGCTGAAATTCTAGAATATTTTTGATTCCTCTAATTCCTTCACATCCATTTGATTAAACAGCAAATCTTGTTGGCTCCTCCTTCAAAATAAATCTAACATCCAAGCATTTCTTGCCACCTTTATAAGTACTACCATAGTCAAAGCCACCATTATGTCTTACCTAGAATTACTACAGTGGCCACTTAACTACACTTTTCCCTTTTCAGCTTATTCTCAACACAGCAGTCAGAATGATCCTGTGTAATGTATGTCAAATGGTATTATTCCTTGTTTTCGTAACTTCCAATCACTTTCCATCTTACTAGGGGTAAAAGCCGGATCCATCCAGTGTCTCATACCACCCTATATGATCTTCATCTTCACCCTGTTACTTGTCTGATCTTACCTCCTACAACTCTTCCTTTCATTCATTTACATCCAGCTACACTGGCCTTCTTACTGTTCCACAGAAATGCAAGACATGCATTTAGGGTTTTTGGACTAGCTGGTCCCTCTGCCTGGGGTGCTTTTCCCTCAGATAGTCATATGACTTGCTCTTTCACTTCCTTTAGGTGTTATTCAACTGTTACCTTACTAGTGAGGGCTTCCCTGGCTACTCTTTACCTACAGTTGTACCCTTTCTCCTCACTGACATTTCCTACCCTTCTTCCCTGCTTTTCTCTTTAGAACTTAATATTGTCTTATGTACTTTTTATCTTTTAAATTGTTTGTTGTTTACCTCTTCTACTAACATGTATGATTTATAAAAGCAGGTATTCACATATGTTTTGTTTGCTGATATATCCTCATCACCTAGAACCCTGCCTAGCCATAGTGAGCGCTTAATATTTTTAAAATAAATGAATGAAAGGATGAATACATACATATATACACATATAAATGGGAGAACTTAAGGATACTATTCAGCAATAAATGCAATGAATTATGGATATATGCAAAAATATGGGTGAATCTTGAAAGTGTCATGCTAACTGAAAGAAACCAGACACAAATGACTCCATTTACATGAAATTCTAGGAAAGGTAAAAGCACTGTAGCATACAGGAAGCAACAAAAAAAGAAAACTACAGTCCAATATTCCTATGAACATAGACACAGAAATCATCAACAAAATACTAGCAAACCAAATCCAGTAGTACATCAAAACGATAATTCAACACAATCAAGTGGGTTTTACTCCAGGTGTACAAGGATGGTTCAACATATGCAAATCAATAAATGTGATTCACCACATAAACAGAATTAAAAGCAAAAACCAGATGATCATCTCAATAGTTGTAGGAAAAACATTGATAAAATCCAACATCCCTTCATGATAAAAACCCTCAACAAACTAGGCATCGAAGGAACGTACCTCAAAATAATAAGGGACATCTATGACAAACACACAGCCAACATCATACTGAATGTGGAAAAGTTGAAAGCATTCCTCCTAAGAACTGAAATAAGACAAAGATGTCTGCTCTCACCACTCCTATCCAACATAGTACTGGAAATCCTAGCCAGAAAAATCAGTCAAAAGAAATAAAAGGCATCCAAATTGACAAAGAGGATATGAAATTATCTCTATCACATGGACATAAAGGTGGAAATAATAGACACTAGGGACTCCAAATGGGGGAATGGTGGGATGGGCATGAGAGTTGAAAAACTACCTATTAGATGCTATGTTCACTATTTGGGTAATGAGTTCAGCAGAAGCACAGCATTATGCAAGATACCCATGTAACAAACCTGCATATGTACACCCCGAATCTAAAAAAAAAGGATAGTGACATAATGTAAATTAATAGTTACCAGTGGTTTTAGATATGGGGGGAGGGGAAAGAATTGACTGCAAAGAATTGACTATAAATTGACTAGTCAAAATTCATAAAGTTGTACACTTTAATTTTATTATAAATTACAACTTGATAAAGCTGAATGAAAAAAATCTCAAATTGTATATTTCTGTTTGAACGTGTGTGTGTGTGTGTGTAGAGAGAGAGAGAGAGAGATACTGAAAATGAGAAAGATAAAATATTAAAGGACATATACTTAAATTGCTATTTCCAAGAGAGATGAAATGTGGGCAGAGGAAAGTAGATAGAGTGAGATGGTCATTGGGAACTATTTGTTTTGTTTGAATTTTTAATAAGGTAAATTACAATGTTTTATCAAATGTTTCACAGAATCATTTTGGAAGCATTGTGCTTAAGGTCTCTGAAACCTCATGTAAGCATATGTGCATATTAATGGCCTAATGGAAGTGATATTTTTAGATATGTTTTCTAGTAAAAAAAATGATACTGAAAATTGGAATTTCTGGTAAAAAAGAAAAAAAGGGACAGAGGAAATAGCATAAGCAGATTGTTCAGGAAGCCACAGTGGCCTAGCAGGAAAAACATTGTTCTGAGAGTCAAGATCTGAGTTTGAGGCCTTCTCTACATCTGTATCATGCAGAGATACCTTCAGTCTCATCTTTCAAACTAGAGCTACTACTCGATTAGTGTTTTTTAAACAAAGATCTGCAAAGCTCTGTTGCAGGCATCTTATTAAATCGGAATAGCTCCCTGTTAATGTGCTCTGTGTAGTTAGCTTCTATTTTTGTTTTTATTTCAAGAGCAGTGTGCCTAATAAGTTTGAAAATGAATTGGAGATGTTTAATGTCTCTCCTGCTATAAAATCACTTTTATGGTTTTTAATAAAAAAGCCCTTAAGATCTATACATAACTTGGTGAGTGGAGGCCCAATTCTAAATTAATACCTTCAACCATACTACTCAAATCTAGATTACATCGAAAGTGCCCAGCCTAGAGATGAAAATAAATGACCTAGTGTGAGTTAGCTTCCTTGGTTACTTCTCCTTCACTCACCCTGAACTCTAAGTTATCAGGAGCCCAAGAATGTCACTTAAAAAGGGCATTCTCATCATGAGATTCAATTGAAGGCTACAGCTATGCCCTGGCCCTGTACTCTGTCTAGCAGATAACACTTTTCACTTCAGCTTTCAAAGTAATCTTTCAGCCTTGACGCTCATCTCAGTCATCCCTTTTGCTAAAGTTCAATTTGAAATTTCTGGTATCTGATCATTCATCACCTGTCCACAGTCTATGCTGACAATTTTTCCATCGATATATGAGAGAGTGAGAGTCTGGGAGAAAATAGAACTTGAATGAAACAAAATGACATCGGTTAGCCTGAAAACCTAGAAACCAGTACTAAGCTTCACAGGAATTTAGATTTCTGGTTAGATTAAGTACCATGAGTTAAGAAGTAACAATATAAACTAAAGTCTTAAATTGGGAGTATAATGTATTCATGAAAGTTAAGGATTTTTGACAAATGGAATAATATTGATTTTAAAATGTTTCTCTAAGATATCTGTAAATATACTTTTTGCATTCAACTCTTTCAAAAAATAGAATGGCCTCTGTTTTTGACATTAAGTGGAAAAGCATTCCTATTGGCCTCGAAGCATTTACATTATATGTGTAAACATATAGATAAGTGGCCACAACAAATTTTTTTTTTGTTTGTTTGTTTGTTTTGCTGCTTGCTCCAATTGTGAGCTCTAAAATTTAAGGACACTTAAATCTAAAATTTAAAATAAAATGAATGTAAATGTTAAATCTGTATGTTTTTTAAAACATTTTGGTTTTTTTTTAAACTAAGATGACTGCTTTAAAAGGATGACAAATATTCTAAGTGAAAATCTTTGCAAGATTGACGGTTTGAGTGAATATTGTGAACTTTTCAGTGTTTTGTGCATGCTCAAAGCTAGATTAGTTCTTGTTTTCAGATTTTGTACAAATGACCCCAGGCTGTATTGTTCAACACCTCCTTTGAAAGTGGAATCTTTCATGGCTATTTTATTTTATTGAATTTGTGGCTGATTTCCTAAGTTCTTGGAGCTTAATATGAGCCATGAAATTTTTTTATGAGATTTGTTACTGAAGGTTTTAGATTCAGTTGGTGGAAGAGCGAGGTATACAGCAGGGTGCAGCAGCCATTTGTGGAGGACCTATTGGGAATCCATTTACTTTCTCTTAGTAAGAGCAGTGTGTTTGTGTGTGTGTGTGTGTGTGTGTGTGTAATTTTATGCGTTTATTTTAAATTAGGTAAAAAATTGGAGTTGGAGGGAGAGGCAGATCTAAAAATTGGGTGGAAACCACCAAAGTTCCTTGGAACTAAATTCTCAAGATATGTGTAATAGCAGATGAGGGAGACACATCAAAATGTTTGCCAGGATTTGCTATCTACTGCAAGGGATTATCTTTGGTGGGCTTAAAGCTATTTAGCCCTGTGTTATGTTTGGATTGAGGGCTCTGAAAACTCCTATTACATAAGGAATTTCATCCTTAAGCCAAACTGTAAATGTGAACAGAAAGCTTAATTAGTGCTTCATTGTATCAGGATTACTGAGAAATTAGTCATCAGAAATTTGCTTGGTAAGGATGGAATCACAGTAAAGTAAAGGTGGATAGTTTTGAGGGAAACATAATTTAGACCATGTTGTTTGATGAATCATTTTTGTCCTACAACAAAGTACTTCTTTGTTCGTTCCTTAAATTCAGATTGTCTTTTCCATGTAGTATGTTAATTAATTATGGATAACTTCTGGTTTTATTCTGTTATGTTAGCTGACTGTCTTCTTCCTGACTGTGCTCTCTCTTTAGCTAAATAATAATATAATTGGTTAAAATTTGGCTTTTTATATTGTAGTTGTATTACAGTCTTGCCTTCCAGAGATTACATTCAGGTAAACTTAATTAGAATTTTAGCTTTCTCCAATTTTTTGAACTGTTTTTATATTTTCTTGGTTTATTGCCATAGATGGTAAGTTATTGTGTATAGGTTTTGTTTGTTTATCTTTTTGAAAATTGCCTTATTTTTAAGTAGTTATCTTATTTTTGAGGTTCACCTTTTTGCTACTCCTGTGTGTCAATAGCAGGTTTATTTAGGTACCCATAGAGTACTTCTGAGGAGCTAAAGTGAAACAAGGAAAATATATTTAAGTTTCTTGTTTGGAACATGGATTATTTATATGTGGCCTTGGTATTATAAAATTATCTAAAAACAAGGCTATAATGATATCACCTTAGAAGTAGATAAATGTTTATTGAGGGCCAGTCCAGGCTAAAAACTGCAAAATTTAAATGGATCTAATTAGTCTTCTGTCATAATTCATGAATGTGTGTCTGGTTTCCGGTAGGCTACCTAGAATAGGGTTCTTTAGAAGTAGAAATTAGTGTAATAACTTAAAATAGGGTTAAGATCTACAACTTAGAGAGTACTTAGGCATTCACCTTTTACTTCTCAGAAACAAATGCCAACTTTAATCACTGAGTAAATAAAGAAAAACACACAATTAGGTACAGCATGTCATTGATTAAGTAATATCCTTTCCTCCTGTTACCTATTAGATGTATTTCAGGTTTTAAATATAATTTCTAAATTTTATGGTGATACCTAACTTTATTATCTTTTCCAAGGCCCAGACATCATTTTGGTATTTTTTAAAAAATCTATTTTCATCTCATTATAGTTAAATTTTCCTTGAAGTGAAATCAGTTAAATATTTAATCTTCAACACACTTGCGCAGCCCTGAAAGTTCAATAAAATGTAATTGTAATTAATGTACATTTGTTTAAATAGAAATATGTGCATGAAGCAAGTACCTTACCAATGTACAATCTGGCTTGTTTTTGGGTAAAACAAGTAACTTCTCAAACGAAGACTTATCTCTAACTTTGTGTTTTGTTTTATTGACATAGAACACCTTTGCACCTAGCCTGTGCTAATGGACATACAGATGTTGTACTTTTCCTAATTGAGCAACAATGCAAAATAAATGTCCGGGATAGTGAAAACAAATCCCCATTGATTAAGGTATGCCATAGTTTTTCTTTTTCAATTGGAATGTGTTTGAGTTCTCCTAGTTAATTTTTGTTGATTTTTCATGTTTTAAAACATAGTATCAAACATTAATTTATCATATCCCAAGTAGTAAATTGGTTACTCATCTACTCTTGTTGCATTAACAGGCAGTACAGTGTCAAAATGAGGATTGTGCTACTATTCTTCTAAACTTTGGTGCAGACCCAGATCTGAGGGATATTCGTTATAATACTGTTCTTCACTATGCTGTTTGTGGTCAAAGTTTGTCATTAGTTGAAAAACTGCTTGAATACGAAGCTGATCTTGAAGCGAAAAATAAGGTAGTTTTCTATTAAAGAAAAAAATCCTGTATTTTAGAAAGCAACTGAAGAGCATATTTCAGATAATTCATCTATGTTGAAATATATGTTATATAAAGCATGAATTTTCCAAACTAAAATTGGGGAGAAAGAGAAGAGATTATCAAAAACTGATAAAATATTTCTTCTCTTGAACTCTTTCTATATTTTATTGCAGATTGTAATCCTGACCTCCAAAGAAACACTATATTTAACAACTATAATTGTTTAACAGGCCATAACAAATGAGGAATATTTAATTCTCTTATAACTGGGTATTGATAAAAATCATAAAACCCACCTTTTTTCTATTTTATTGATATACTCATGAATAATAATAACAGGGTTGAAATAGCAAATGACACAATATTAAAATTAATCTAACTCTTCTATTGAGGCATTATGAATAGCCGATGAATTTTTTTAAAAAGTGTATTGAGCCGGGCATGGTGGCTCACGCCTGTAATCCCAGCACTTTGGGAGGCCGAGGTGGGTGGATCACGAGGTCAGGAGATCGAGACCATCCTGGCTAACGTGGTGAAACCCCGTCTCTACTAAAAATACAAAAAATTAGCTGGTCGTCGTGGTAGGCGCCTGTAGTCCCAGCTGCTCGGGAGGCTGAGGCAGGAGAATGGCGTGAACCCGGGAGGCGGGGCTTGCAGTGAGCCAAGATTGCGCCACTGCACTCCAGCCTGGGCAACAGAGCAAGACTCTGTCTCAAAAAAAAAAAAAAAAAAAAAAGCGTATTGATACTTTACTGATATTTTGTCCACAGCCAAAATAAGTGCCAGCCTTGGAAGTTTAAGTGAAACCCAGTGGAAATCTGAATGTGACAATATTATGAAATGTGAATTGACAGTATGCAATGCTTACATTAAATGCTAAGTGCTCATCACTTACTTATTCTAGGCTGCTCTTACCTACAATTTGAATTAAGCCTAAAACAGGAACTTAAATTTTTTTGTCTGGCTCAACCCTGATTTGTTTTCTTGGTCTTTGAAATCACATTTTTTTATGTATTAAAATCTTTTAAGAGTTAAAGTGTATATTCAGAAGTTCTTATGCACACATATTTTAAGTTGAACTTAAATCTAAAGAGCATGAAAATTTGCTACAATATTTTAATCATTTTTAAATATTTTTTTCAGGATGGGTATACTCCACTATTAGTTGCCGTTATTAACAATAATCCAAAAATGGTAAAATTTCTTCTGGAGAAAGGGGCTGATGTGAATGCTTCAGATAATTATCAAAGGTATAATTAATAAATAAGATAGCACATAACTAAAGCTACCTGATAGGATTGTGTGTGTGCGTATGTGTGTGTGTGTGTGTGTGTGTGTGTGTCCACAAAACACAATATATATGATATTGGGAAAATATAGAACCATAAGACCCGTAGGATGTATGCTCACATGCTTTTGGACAGATTACCTAAACTTTTAGGATTTATTTTTCCCTTTGTAAAATCAAACAGTTGGGCCAGGTATTAACTGGTTATTATTATTATTTATCATTTATTATTAGAATTTAACATTAGACTCTTACATAGATGACCAACTGTTGTAGTTAAATGGGGTCAGGGGACCCAAAGTCCCAAGACACATTCCTTCATGGAATTTTGAGACATATTTTTGAAAACACTAGGCTTCCAGGAAGAAGAGATTGAAAATGATTGAGCTAGCTGCTTCCTAGGTACTGTTCATGTTTAGACTCCATGATATGATCTGTGACTGGCACACTTTTTTGAGCAGATCTGCTGTATTTTTTACATTGTTGCTTTGACTCTTTCTGATAGAGGCCCTACATTTGAGTAGTAAATTGAGAAGACTGAATTTTTAAAATTAGGCATGTTTAAGATCTTTACATGGGCATTCATTTCTATCTCTTGCTCCAGAACAGCCCTTATTCTTGCTGTCAGTGGTGAACCACCATGTTTAGTAAAGCTTCTTCTTCAGCAAGGTGTGGAATTATGTTACGAAGGTATTGTGGATTCACAGCTGAGGAATATGTTTATTTCCATGGTTTTACTGCGTAAGTGATACTGCATGTCTTTTAACAACTGTATGGGGTTTGATTATAAGGATCAAAGCCTAAGCCCCAAAGTACAAGGCTGGAATAGGCTCAACAGTAGGGGTAACCACATACAAATCTGTGCAGGGATTCTTGATTTTCTCTGTTTGTGGGTTCAATCAATATAAGGGCTACAGATGGGCTGAATATGCAAATAAACTACCAGAGGCAGGAGCATTGGAAGTGTGCCAGGGTAGGGATTTAGACACTTGTAACATAGCCATTAATAAAACATATAGGTGATAGAGTTGGACAAAAGATGATTCATTCACACAAAGCCTTTCATTGCCTTTAGATATTATTAATATATGGATTGTATTCATGTTTTGAATATTATTGTTAACATTTCATTAGCTAACCTTAGTTTGGTAAGTGTTCAGAATTCTAAAGTACACTCTATTTACACCCAAAAGAAAAACTATTTTCATGTATGAATACAAAGTTCTGATTTTTAATAGTTAATGAGAAAATTAGATACGATGTACAAAAATTTAATTTATAGCTTATGAATTTAACTTATAGATAATTTGTAGCTAACTTAATTTACAGCTTAATGAAGTTAAATAACATACAAGGTATTTTCTCTATAATTTTATTTTAAGAGCAATTTAAAATTATAAGTAGGTATTTTTTCAGTTTTTATTATTCTTCTTCCACTGCTTTATTCACATTTTAGGAATACTTTTTAATCATTAATTCCATATGAAAAGCATAGGTGGGAGGGAAGAAAAATAATCACATATACATACAGATGTTTAGTCTTAATTTAACTTTAGACACAAAAGAATTTTTATTCTATTAAATGCATGAACCATAATTGAGTAAATATAATATTTTCATCTTCGTAATACAGAACGTGTACTTTGTTTTACTTTGGTTTAAGCAGACCATATGCATAAAATCTTAATGAAATAAACATGTAAATTATTGGTGAATATCCAAACTATAAAAGGATTCTTCACTCTACAAAAGTGATCCCTAATGTTTCTTTTATGTATGATTTTTTTCCATCACTTAAAAAGCTTAGGTATATGAAACTAGAAGACACATGTATCTGTTTAGTAATGTATCTATTGGTCAAAAACAGAACTTGTATATTTAAAATACTTATTTACATATATGTAAGCAAGTCTCATGAAGGCATTATTGGATAGTTTGATGAGAAGGAAATCTTACAATCTTCCTTTATCTCCCCCAAATGGCTTTTAGAACAGAAAATTCTTTTTGTAGATTGCTCCATCATTAATTTTAAAATACAAACATATTGACCATGAAGTTTTTGTCCTCTTAATAGATTCATATTTTCAATGTCGAAAATTGTAAGAGAATTACATTTTTTTTTCTTTTTTTTCAAAGAGGTGAGAGGGAAGAAAAGCAACTTCCTAATGATTAAGCAATTACCTCTGGGATGTGGAAATGATCAACATTTAATAACAATTGCAAGTGACTCTTCAAAACTACAATCTTGTCCTTTCACAGTATTTGCCCCTCTTTGCAGTGGGAACTAAGCTTTCTGTAATTGTGACTTTTGTTGCTCAAGTAGCTGTTGCCTATGTAACGTACTTAAGAATGTGCTGCTTCATAACATCATTTGTTGGCTCTCTATGTAGATTCTATGGCTTAGTAAAGTGGAAGCATAGACAATATTCCTCATAGTTTTAAAAAATTAGTGAAACACTTCCAAATGAAGGAATTATATTTAAGTATTTATTTTATGGTTAGCCATAACCCATGCATTTCTTCATTTCTCTCATTAAAATTCAGAAGCCATATGGCTCTTTTCTGTCATGGAGCAAAAGTATATTCATCACTGGGTGTGTTTCAGTCCCTGACTGAGTTAATTGTCTTCACTTTGTTAATTTACTATTAAACCTGAGAGCTGTGGGCTGAATTTCCCCCTAAAATTCACACGTGAAAGCCGTGGCCTAGTACCTGTGAATGTGACCATTTTTGGAGATAGAGCCTTTAAAGGGGTGATTAAGTTAAAGTGAGGCCAATAGGGTTGGCCCTAATTTAATTTCTAACCTGGGTCCTTATAAAAAGGGGAGGTTAGAACATGCAGAGAGACACAGGGGTGCTCATGCTCAGAGGGATGACTTATATGAAAAGGCCAGTCATCTAAAGGGCAGTCACCTAAAGCAGGTGTCCTTAACCCCTGGGCCATGGCCCAGACCTGGTCCTTGGCCTGTTAGGAATGGGGCAGCACAGCAGGAGGTGAGCTGCAGGCCAGCAAGCAATGCCGCCTGAGCTCCGCCTCCTGTCAGATAAGCAGAGGCTTTGGGTTCTCATAGGAGCACAAACCCTCTTGTGAACCGCTTTGCAAAGGATCTAGTTTGTGGTCTCCTTATGAGAATCTAACTAGTGCTTGATGATATCAGGTGGAACAGTTTCATCCTGAAACACCCCTGTCCCCCTACTTCTGTGGAAAAATTGCCTTCCACAATGTCAGTCCCTGGTGCCAAAAAGGTTGGGGATCTCTAATCTAAAGAACAGTTATCTAAAAGGCAAATAAATGCCTGGGACAGATTTTCCCTTAAGGACCTCAGAGAAAGCCTACCCCACTGGCACCTCAATAAATGTGCAGCCGACAGAACCATGAGAAAATTAGTTTCTGTTTAAGCTGCCCCATTTGTGGTGTTTTGTTATGGCACCTCTAGCAAATGAATACACCAACTATAAATTAAAGCCATTTTTACTATCTTGATAGTGGCTTTTAAAAAAATCATATTTGTGATAGCAGGAAGAAAAGAGGTGCCAGAGAATGGGAGTACATGAAATAAAAGTGGTGTCTGTTGACAGAGTTGGCTCAAGAGGAAGCTTGTCCTCAAGTGTGTTACATTCTTGGGGCAGCATTGGCTGGTACCTAAGGTTTTGATTTGATACTTATATGTTAGGAATTAAATTTCTATGCATGCTGGCATTCACACGTAATTTCCTTTATAGATAGATACCCACAATTCACTGCGAGCCATGGAAAGAAGAAACATGCTAAATAGACACCTTATTCTTGGCACTACATGTGACTAAAGGAAGGTAAGATTGCTAACTGGATTAGTGTTTTTTTCTTGTTGCTTTTTATTTGTTAATTTTTTAGGAAAGGAAACAACTTTCTTAAGTAACATTTAATTTTAAAATGGAAATTTTGTATTATTTTGAAATGTCAAATATTTTTAAGAACTATTCTTTTTTATTTATTTATTTATTTATTTATTATACTTTAAGTTTTAGGGTACATGTGCACATTGTGCAGGTTAGTTACATATGTATACATGTGCCATGCTGGTGCACTGCACCCACTAACTCGTCATCTAGCATTAGGTATATCTCCCAGTGCTATCCTTCCCCCCTCCCCCCACCTCACAACAGTCCCCAGAGTGTGATATTCCCCTTCCTGTGTCCATGTGATCTCATTGTTCAATTCCCACCTATGAGTGAGAATATGCGGTGTTTGGTTTTTTGTTCTTGCGATAGTTTACTGAGAATGATGTTTTCCAATTTCATCCATCTCCCTACAAAGGACATGAACTCATCATTTTTTATGGCTGCATAGTATTCCATGGTGAATATTTGTGATTAAAATATTCTGACACTGTGTTGGCTGAAAATGTAAAGATGTAATGTAAAAATATGCTTAATGATTAAGATCATTTTTTAACCCATTGTCTCATGTCTAGCTATAAAAAACAAAATTTTTGCACATATATATTTTAATAGATGAAAAACTATCATAAAAATTTTAATTTTATTGTAAAAATACATTAAGCACTGTTGATAGTAGTTAATATAAGATATACGAATTAATTATATAAAATTTTAAAGAAAGTAACAATATTTGTAAAGAATTGAATTTACTGTGCATCAACTAAAATAAAATTTTGTTATTCATTTTCAAGAATATATAGTTATTGGCCGGGCGCGGTGGCTCACGCCTGTAATCCCAGCACTTTGGGAAGCCGAGGCGGGTGGATCATGAGGTCAGGAGATCGAGACCATCCTGGCTAACAAGGTGAAACCCCGTCTCTACTAAAAATACAAAAAATTAGCCGGGCGCGGTGGCGGGCGCCTGTAGTCCCAGCTACTCGGGAGGCTGAGGCAGGAGAATGGCGTGAACCCGGGAGGCGGAGCTTGCAGTGAGCCGAGATTGCGCCACTGCAGTCCGCAGTCCGGCCTGGGCGACAGAGCGAGACTCCGTCTCAAAAAAAAAAAAAAAAAAAAAAAAAAGAATATATAGTTATTTAGGTCTGTAAAAATTAGCTTTTATTGACAAGTATGTTTTACACTGACTTTTGTTGGATGAGAGAAAAACTTTTAGAACTCTCCTCTGTATTCACTAGCAAGCAGACTCCTCCACTACAATTCACCCCCAGTGTAAAATGGAAGAAAATAAAAAGGACATAGAAGGAGTGTGGAGGCAATAGAAGATCATATAAATTCTCAACTATTCAAGCCCTCTCCATCCCCCATCCCCACAAATCTATAGTGATAATGCTTACAACAATGTTTGGTCCTATCAATTCCAGGTGAATAAACTTAGGGGAGAATTTCTCTGAATTACCTTTTTTTTTTTTTTTTTTTTTTTTTTTTCTGTTTTTGAGGTGGAGTCTCACTCTGTCACCCAGGCCAGAGTGCAGTGATGCAATCTCAGCTCACTCCAATTTCTGCCTCCCGGGTTCAAGCGATTTTCCTGCCTCAGCCTCCCAAGTAGTTGGGATTACAGGCTCCACCACCATGCCCGACTAATTTTTGTATTTTTAGTAGAGATGGGGTTTCACCATGTTTGCCAGGCTGGTCTCGAACTCCTGACCTCAGGTGATCCGCCAGCCTCGGCCTCCCAAAGTGCTATAATTACATGCGTGAGCCACTGTGTCTGGCCCTCTGAATTACTCTTAATGTATACTCTTATTTCCTCTTCTCCTGCACCTCTCTCTCTCTTTTAAATGTCTGTGCAGCTCTAAGAAGTGAAGAATTTCTGTGATTTACACTTCGTTTCTTAAGGGAACTAAAGCAGTAGAAACTACAGAAAAATCATTGCTACATTTTGAGTGCCTCTTGAGGGTAGACATTTAAAACCAGGCTCACTCATTTTATTTTGGCAAGTTTGTTCACAGTTCATAGTGAAATGTTAATCTTAATTAATGTTTTAAAGCGTAGATTTATTGTGTCAAGAAAATTACCAAAAGATGTTGCAAAAATGGTGAACATAAAAAGTTATATTTCTGTCAAATTCAAAAGAGACTACTTAATTATTTAAAAATTACTATTAGATATAGAAATGCTAAATTATAATTGTGTTGTAGCTGAGGCATATAATTTAAGAAATACATGTAGAAATGGAAATATTTGGACGTAAGTGAAGACATTATAAATATCATTTGTTTCCTAGATATGGAACCCATTTCTACAATTTCTTTGCCGCTTCCTTGAATTGGAAAAATGTACTTTGAAAGAACCGTTAAGTGAACTATTATAATATTTTTGCTGACTACCCAGTTGAAGAAAAGTTTGTTAATTGGATGGGATTTTTTTTTTTTCACGTTAGAAGACATGAAGAAATTTTAAAAGATAAACATCTATATTGTGAACCATCAGCTGAAAAGATAAATTTGTGTTCAATATATAGGCAGAAAAAAATTTGTGTCAAAATGTTGAATGGAATAATAATGAGGAAACTGTGTTAGGCATGTATTAAAACATTTAAATAAAATAAAAATACATTTCAGCTACAAAGTGAAGGAAAACATTATAAATAATCCTGTATAAATCAAAATTATGTTTTATTTACAAGTATTTTCACTGGTAAAACCTTTTTGATTTTTTAGAAACACTACAGTACTATAATATATATTCGGAAAACTTGGGTATTATAGAAAAGAAAAAAGAAAATGCATCACTCAAAGTCTCATTACCCAAACAAAACATTTGTTAAATTTTTGGCATGTTTTGTAGTATTTTAAAATTTGCTTAGTTTTTTTTTCCTCAAAGAGAATTTCCAGTTTTACATTTTTCTTCTTGAAAACACAATACATTGTCCACAGTTTTCACTGTGCTCTTTGCTATAGCTTAAACACATCAAGTGTGGTCTGGCTTCAGAACAGTTCCCTATAAGACCCTTTTTCCTTTAGTTATTGCCTAGGACAACTCCTCATGGGACCTCAGTCACTGCTCTGTCATTCTGTCACTTACAAGGCACTACTCTCTTCTTGCATTTTGGAATTAAAACTCCATGAGGGCTTGAACTTTTTGTTCCCTACTACTTGTAAAATGCCTGATGTATAGTAGATATTCAATTTGCTGAATAATAAGTGATACTTGTCAGGCCCTGTTCCAGTAACTTTACATGTCTTACCTCATGATCTTTGCACAGTTTTGTTGAGGTAGGAAGTATTTATATCCTCATTTTAAGATGAGAACATTGAGGTGCAACATGGTTCAATGACTTGCTTGAGGTTACTGAGCTAGAACACTGGGAGCTGGTGTATAAACCCATGCTCTCTGGATTTGAACCTAGCCAGTCCCATGCCAGAATTTGTACCATAAACCAATATGCCATGTCATTTCTCTCATGAATGAATGTATATCATCCTTGTAAGCTCTACTTTTAATGGCTCAGAAGGAAGATTTTCTTTGAAATTGAAACTTGTTTAAACCACTCTTTTATTTAAGTATGTTTGTTTCACTTATTTCTAGCACTAGGTGATATTGAAGAGCTAAAATGGAGGGGGAAAAAAACCAGACAATTCCTGACTTCAAGTCAACAAACATTTAATTTCTGCTATGGTTTCAATCAGTGATTCTTAACTGGGAGCAATTTTGACCCCAGGGGATATTTGGCAATGTCTGCTGAGATTTTTGATTGTCAAGACTGAGAATCAATACTGCTAAATATCCTGTCATGCATGGGACTGTCCCCACAACAAGTAATTGTCTGGCCCCAAATGTCAACAGTTTCACGGCTGAGAACTCTGATCTAGATTCTATATTATATGCTGGGGACCAAAGATGAAAAAGATGTTTTTATATACTCTGCCTTAAATGAGCTCACAAATGTTTAGTTTCCCCACTCCCAGTCTTTATGAGAGTTAGAACATGTGTAATGTACCTTTGCCATTAGCAGAAAAGGAGGGAGTGGTAAACCTAGCGTAGATTAGGGAGGGTCAGGGGTGATTTCAGCTAAAAAGGAACTTTTTGGCTGGGCTCATAGAATAAGTAGGGTTTCTCTAGGTCTCCCAATCAAAACTTAGTAAACCATAATAAAAAGTTCATAATAGAGGCAGAAGCTAAACACCCAAGAATCAGAGGAGAGAGGAAGTTACCACAAGGTTAACATTGGTGGGGTAGATGAGATTTTAACCATGTTCTGAAGGGTAGGTGGAATTTTGACATAGTACTTCTAATAAGAAATTAGGCTTGGCACGTTGGCTCACACCTGTAATCCCAACACTTTGAGTGGCTGAGGTGGGAGGATCACTGGAGCCCAGGAGTTTGAGACCAGCATGGGCAACATAATGACATCCCATCTCTACAAAAAATTTAAAAATTAGCCAAGCATGGTGGCACATGCTGGTAGTCTCACGTACTTAGGAGACTCCTGCTGAAGTGGGACGATTGCTTGAGCCTAGGAGGTTGAGGCCTCAATCAGTTGTGATTTTGCCACTGTACTCCAGCCTGACCTTGTCACAAAATAGAAAAAAAATAAATTAGGTGGAATGAAGAACTTTGCGTATTTTATAATAGAATTTGTGTTGACTACTCTTTGGGGAAAATGTGTACTCTAAAATGGTATGCTGTAGTGCAGATGTAGTGCACAGATATTTGATCTGATTTTGCCAGCTCTGCTTCTCCATTACTGTTACATCTCTAGGAACAATTTTGTGAATTCTCTCAAGTATTTCAATTCTTAGAATATTGTCAACTTGTGAATTACTTTTTAGTGTGCCTGGTAATATCTAAAACAGAACAAATTTACTTTTCCTTTAAGAAGTTTAACAACAGAAAACAACTATTTAATACATACCCAACTTTAGGTAAACATGTACACTTCCTTTAAGCAACCATATAAGTAGACTACTTTTCTCACTCATGTGGACAGCTAGGAGAAATACATTTCTTCATGAATGATCTCTTCCCCTAACCAACTTAGAGTTATGGCATAAAGTTGTGCAGATTTAGAGCACCCTCGTGGAGGGAGTGATGCTGACTAAACCATGTGCTTTGACACAAGTCTGTCAAAGAAAGGGCACATTTTTCTAATTTTTCAAAGGTAAGTGGAAGTGACACGTTGCCTTTTTTTTTCTTATCAGAAGCCCATCACCCTCTTGCACTCTTGCCATCCTCCCCAAGGAGAGCATGTTAGATAGCAGCTACTTCTCCAGCCTTGGTCTCCCAATGAGACACACATGGGGCATGTCTGAATTAAGCCCAGCTGAAAAGAGGAACCCTGCCGGGCTCAGCAGAGCCACAGCCAGTACTCAAAAGAAAGAAATAAATGTTTGGCATTTAAACCACTGATACTGTGAGACTGTTTATTGTCCCCAGCAAAAAGATGACTGATAACAGAAATCATGGGGTCAGCTTGTCAGATCAACAGTGTGCATCTCACTTGTGGTGTGCTTACCCACTTTCATTCTCTAGAAATAAAGCCTCTCCCCACAAAAGATTCTTTTACTAGCTGCAAGGAAAACCATTTCATGTGTTACATAGATGATGCTTTTATTCTGCAGTCTTTACTGAGATTTAATGAATCATACGTTTACATAATCACTTTTTTGCTTTGAAAGAAATACCTGACATTTCTTTCCTAAGGAGTTCTATTAGTTTGCTATTGTTGCTGTAACAAACTACCACAAATGCAGTGACTTGAAACAACACAAATGGATTATCTTACAGTTTTGGAGGTCAGAAGTAAAAAGTGGATCTAGGGGGGTAACCACAAGATGTTGGCAGGATGTGTTCCTTTCTGGAGGCTTTGGGGGAGAGTTTGTTTCCTTGCCTTTTGTAGCATCTAAATGCTGCCCACAATCCTTGGCTCCTGATCCCCAGCAATTATATCACTCTGACCTCTGCTTCTGTCCTCAAATCTTCTCTGACTTTCCTGCCTCCTCCTTTCACTTATAAAGATGCTTGTGATTACATTCAGTCCACTTGGAAAATCCGTGATAGCCTGCCTCCCATCTTGAAACTCTTAATCTAATCACATCTTTACATCATTTTTGCCTTTTAAAATAACATATTCCCAGGTTCTGGGCATTAGGATATGGATATCTTTGACAGGCCATTATTCTGCTACCCACAGGTGCAGTGGAGTGGATTGGAGATTACTTACTGATTTTATTTTAAATTTTGAAACAATCTCAAACTTAGAGAAAAATTATCTTCTCAGTACAATTTTTTTTTCTGAACCATTGTGTGAGTTGCTGACCTTATGTTGTATCACCCCTAAGACTTTTGTCTGTATTTTCCTCGAACAAGAAGATTCTTCTGCATAATCACAATATAACCATCTAAATTGGGGATGGTTATAAACTCTTAATCTAATCACATCTTTCCATCATTTTTGCCTTTTAAAATAACATATTCCCAGGTTCTGGGCATTAGGATATGGATATCTTTGACAGGCCATTATTCTGCTACCCACAGGTGCAGTGGAGTGGATTGGAGATTACTTACTGATTTTATTTTAAATTTTGAAACAATCTTAAACTTAGAGAAAAATTGTCTTCTCAGTACAATTTTTTTTTTCTGAACCATTGTGTGAGTTGCCGACCTTATGTTGTATCACCCCTAAGACTTTTGTGTGTATTTTCCTCGAACAAGAACATTCTTCTGCATAATCACAATATAACCATCTAAATTGGGGAATGGTTAATATTGATACAATACTAACATACACTTCTCAGATTTCATTCATATTTTCCCAAATGATCCAATAATGTTCTTTATAGCAAAATAATCAAATATTGCCTCTATCATGTCTCTTGATTCTCCTTAATTTTTCAATAAATATTTGGTATTTCATTCATTTTTATGACCTTGACACTTTAGGAATTATAAGCCAGTTGTTTGATAGGATGTTCTGATTTTGAGTTTGGTAATTCTTTATGATTGGATCCATGTTATGGGTGTTTCGTAAAATTATCTCAGAAGTGTTGTTACATCCTCTCTTGTGCCACACCATTTCAATTTGCAGTTTACTTTGATCACTGGATTAAGGTGGTATTGTCAGCCAGCCTTCTGCAATGTAAAGTTGCTCTTTTTTTTTTCTGTTTGTAATAATATGTATCTTGTGGAGAGGTATTTTGAAACAATGTAAAGATCCTGACCCTCATTACATTTTCCATTCGTTTATATGAACTTGAATTCGTAGTTTCGTATTTCAGTGGATTGTGTAACTTAATTTGATGCTCAAATTTTCTCAGAGTTGCATGTCTAATTTTTTTTTTGGTGAAAGACTGGACATTCTAGAGAATATATTTAGCAATTCTGGCTTCTGTTTTATTTTTCTGAGGGACTTTTTTTCCTGAGAGATTTCTTAAAGCCTAGTTCACATTAGTTATTTTTCCTGATCCTCTCCCTCCCATTATCCACCATCTGATAGGCCCCAGTGTGTGTTGTTTCCCTCTATGTGTCCATGCATTCTCATAATTTAGCTCTTGCTTATAAGTGAGGGCATGCAGTATTTGGTTTTCTGTTCCTGGGTTAGTTTGCTAAAGATTATGGCCTCCAGCTCCATCCATGTCACTGCAAAGGACATGATCTTGTTCTTTTTTATGGCTACGTAGTATTCCATGGTGTATATATACCACATTTTCTTTATCCAGTCTGTCATTGATGGGCATTTGGATTGATTCCATGTCTCCTATTGTGAATAGCACTGCAATGAACATATGCATGCATGTGTCTTTATAGTAGAATGATTTATATTCCTTTGGGTATATAACCAGCAATGGGATTGTGGGGTTGAACAGTATTTCTGTCTTTAGGTCTTTGAGGAGTCACCACACTGTCTCCCACAATGGTTGAACTAATTTATACTCTCAACACCAGTGTAAAAGAATTCCTTTTTCTCCACAACCTTGTCAGCATCTGTTATTTTTTGACTTTTTAATAATAATCACTCTGACTGGTGTGAGATGCTATCTCACTGTGGTTTTGATTGAGCTTTTTTCATGTGATTGTTGGCTGCATGTATATCTTCTTTTGAGAAGTATGTATTCATGTCCTTTGCCTACTTTTTAATGTGGTTGTTTTTTTTCTCTTATAAAATTGTTTAAGTTTTTTATAAATGCTAGATATTGGGTTTTTGTCAGACACATGGTTTGCAAAAATTTTATCCTGTTCTGTAAATTGTCTGTTTACTCTTGATAGGTTTTTTTTTGTGGGGGCGGGGGAGGTGCTGTGCAGAAACTCTTTAGTTTAATTAGATCCCATTTGTCAGTTTTTGCTTTTGTTGCAATTACTTTTGGCATCTTCGTCATGAAATTTTTGTCCATGCCTATGTCCTAAATGGTATTGCCTAGGTTTTCTTCTATGGTTTTTATAGTTTTGGGTTTTGCATTGAAGTCTTTAATCCATCTTGAGTTGATTTTTGTATATGATGTAAGGAAGGGGTCCAGTTTCAATTTTCTGCATACGGCTAGCCAGTTATCCCAGCACCATTTATTAAATAGGGAATCTTTTCCTCATTGCTTTTTGTCAGGTTTGTCAAAGATCAGATAGTTGTAGGTGTGTGGTATTATTTCTGGGTTCTCCATTCTGTTCCATTGGTCAATGTGTCTGTTTTTGTACCAGTACCATGCTTTTTCAGTTATTAGTATAAAGTCAGGTAGTGTGATGCCTCCAGCTTCATTCTTTTTGCCTGGGATTGCCTTGGCTATTTGGGCTCTTTTTTGATTCCATATACATTTTAAAATAGTTTTTTTCCAATTCTGTGAAGAATGCCAATGGTAGTTTAATGGGAATAGCATTGAATCTATAAATTACTTTGGACAGTATGGCCATGTTCATGATGTTGATTCTTCCTATCCATGAGCATAGAATGTTTTTCCATTTGTTTATGTCATCCTTGATTTCTTCAAGCAGTGGTTTGTAGTTCTCTTTGTAGATGTCGTTCACTTCCCTTGTTAGCTATATTCCCAGGTATTTTTTTCTTTTGGGGGCAATTGTGAATGGGAGTTAATTCATGATTTGGCTGTCAGCTTGTTGAATTGTTTAAAGTTTAGACCATGCCAATGTATTTTTAATGTGGACTTAAATAAAACTTACACTAAAAAAGAGACTATATCTTCTAAAAATGCCTAAAATTCTAAAATGTTATTGAGAAGAGACTTAGGGGCTCAAAAATCTGGCTGAGATTTTACTCCCCCATCCTCACATACATGAAATATTTTGAAACATAGACATTTCACAGGATGAAAACAATGTTCACTCTAACTTGGTACCTTAATTAGCAGTATTATAGGGCTATGCTGCTATAAAAATAAAGAGATTAAATGGAAACGACTGGATCCATATGATATAAGATGCACAATAATCCTTTTTTTTGTAATGAGACTATAACCATTGTTAACAAAAAACAGCTGTCAGTTCTATTCATTTGAAAGTCACATATGGATTGTTCATTGTGGCAGGCAGTATGTGGGAGCAGTGGACATAGAGGTCAGAGGATCTCTTATAACCTGAGTCAAATATTTTCCCCACATTAGTGTATCTAATCAGTAAACACATAAACTCTTGCTGTAAAGCTTGCCTAAGAAGCTAGCAACACTGTTTGCCTCAGAACTCACTACATTTTTGAACATGATAACTTTTAATATTTGATATAACATCTCAAAAATAATTCTAAGGACATTTTTGTGGAAGAATCTATTTTTGGAAATATGAACTCTTTTGTGTTGGATAACTCAAGACTATTGTAAATCAGCAACTGTACTGTTAAAAGGATATCATTGCCAGTGGACCTGGCCATTCCACATCTTGGAATATATTCTAAGAAAATGACTAGAAAATAAGGCAAATATTTATATACACTGGTGTACATCACAGATTTATTTAAATATTAGCAAAAGTTTAGATTAACACATTTGTGTTCAATCATAGAGGATGCCTTGGACTTCTAGGGTGAGATGATCTCCTAATGCTAAATATGATAAATAAGTTTCTTGCCCTCTTGCTTGCTGGCCAGTATCCTATCTTGATTCTGCTGATTCTTTGCTGTTCTTTACTGCATTTATTTTGTCATTTTCTTTTGATGCATTAGAAAATACAAACTTGGGATCAGTTTATATACTTATTAAGACAATAAATTTGACTTACCCATCAACCTTGCCTGTGCCTCTCTTCTCATCTGGCAGTACTGGGTATTAGCAATCTTCAGAGTCTACCAGTTGGATACTAGTGGTGGGGGAACATCTTCATGTTTATTAGCCATTTGATTTCCTTTTGGGACAATAGTATAAAATGCATGGCCTATCCTTTCCTGTTTCCTGTTTTTTCTTAATTACCTTCATTAATACTTAAAATATGAAGACTACAAATACACATTCATATGCATTTATTGCGTATGACATACTTTGTAGTTGATTTAACTTTGGTTCAACAAATTTTTTCAGTGATTTCTTATAGCAATCAGCTCCACCCCCAATAATATATTTATCCTTCAGTGAACTACCACATATTTGAATAGGTCCTCTTCATATGATTATTTCTCTTCTAGACATAGTTATTATTAATAAGTGATTACAGTCTTTTACAATCTAGACTGTTTTACTCACAGAGTTGCTTATGGCACATTTTTATCTTATTTACACCTATTTGACTGAAAAATAATTGTGCACCTTTTATTTAATCCCTATAGTTAAGAAAGATTTCCTTTATATAACATTTCATTTCTTGTCTTTTTTCTCTTTTTGGCCGTGTTTTTGATTCATAAGCAATGATAAGGTAATAGGAATATCGAAGGATTTTATTCTGGATAAGATTAAGATTTAAGGTGCTTTTAGAATATTTTATTTGGCATTTGCTTCATTTGTTAAAAAACCCTGCCTTTTCTTTATCACAAAATCTATAATTCTATGAAGTATTTGTTCTATTGGGTATTTCCCTGTGTAACTATTTGCCATCTAGTGGACAATCTAAATGCTGCTCAGTTTTACAAAATAAAGTTTCCAATTTGATCTTTTCACAATATCTTGTAGGGAGAAAACTTTTTTTCCAAGTTTTCAAGTTTTAAGCTATTTTAGTACACAGGGATTTATAAATCAGTTCTGATTTATATATAAAAGAATTGTTATCTTGAATGAACTTGTATCCTCTCCCATATCTACTACATTTCTTAGCACCTAGTAGGCACGTATTAAAATTAAATATTTGTTGAATGGAATATTTGTTGAATGAATGAATAAAATGTTTAGTGAACTATACGTGTCTTTCAGTGGTTGAAGCATTTACAATTTTTATACTTCATTATTTTTATTTAGTAGAGTTAGCAAAAAGAGTGGCTAGAAGTCAGAGGACTTGTTCACATATTACCAAAGAATGTCTATGTTACATGACCAATTTATGCATCTAGACTACATGTGAATGTGTGTTGACTGATTTGCTACTTTTGCATTTTTTCATATTCAGGGTTTTCATAATTCACGGACATAGTGAGTGAAGCTATGCTGCTTTTACTAGGAACTATTTCCTTTGGGATTTTGCTGGTGTATTCAACTAGAGGGAACTTCAAGTGGAATCTAGGACACCTGATTGCCTTGAACAATTAAGGCAATTGAAGGTGCTGGAGAGTAAGGTTAATCAATGCATGCTTTAGAAGTCTGTATTCACAAAGGGAAGTCAAGTGTTCCATTCAACAAATACTGAGTTTCTGTTACATGTCAGGCATGTATTATGCATGGCAGTACTAAGATAAACAATATCTTATGGTCTATAAGATTTTTTTAGCTAACTGGAGAGATAACACATTGAAAATCTCTTACCTTACCTTCTTCTTTGAGAAATTATGCTTTAGCTTTTATGGTTCCCCATGCCCTGTGTGATAGGCAGAATTGTAAAATGACCACCTGTGACCTATGCCATTATGTATTCTTCTTTGGAGTGTGTTTGGAAATTGTGAATATGATGAAGTGTCACTCCTGTAATTATGTTACTTAAATGGCAAAAGGGAGATAAACCTGTTTTGGCCTGATCTAATCACATGGGCCCTTTAAATCTAGGTCCAGAGTTCAGACACAAAAGTCAGAGATCCAAGTATAAGAAAGATCTGAGGTGAGGGAAACTCTCTTGCTGGCTTTGAGTATGAAGGGGGCCATGTGGCGAGATCTGAGAGTAGTTTCTAGGAACTGAGAGCATCCCATGAGCAATAGCTAGCAAGAAAATGGGGACCTCAAACCTGCAGATACAAATTATTGAATTTTTTTCTGCACCTATATGAGCTTGGAAGAGAACTCTGAGCAATAGCTGAGAAAGCAGCTTGTGGACACCTTGATTTGAGACCCTGAGCAGACAGTCCACCACCCTGTGCCAGGACTCTGACATATAAAACTTTGAGTTTATCAATGTTTTATAGCTTTTAGTAAGCCTTTCACCTCCCTAGCTAAGTTTGTTCTTTTTGGTGTTATAAAAGGAATTGTTTTCCTAATTTATTTTTCAGGTAGCTGGTTGTTGGTAAACAGAAGTGTAGTTGCTTTTCGTATATTGATTTCACATCCTGCACCTTCACTGAATTTATTAATTCAAAGTTTCTTTGCAGTCTTTAGAGTTTTCTATTTAGAAGATTATGTCATCTGCAAACAAATAATTTTACTTTCTCCTTTCTGATTTGGATGACTTTTCTTTCTTTCTTATTGTATAATTCCTCTGTCAAGGACTTCAGTACTTGATTGAATAGAAGTGCTGAAAATGGGAATCCTTTCCTTGATCCTGATCTTACAGGAATAGCTTTCAGTTTTTCACCAGTGGGAATGATGTAAGCTATAGGCTTTTCAAATATGGCCTTTATTATATTTAGGTAATTTCCTTATATTTCTAGTTTGTTGAGAGTTTTCATCATGAAATGGTGTTGAATTTTGTCAAAAGCCTTTTTCTGTACCTATTATGAGGGTCATGGGAGTTTTACTCTTAGTTCTGTTAATGGGCATGGTTATACTGACTGATTTTTGGATATGGAACCACCCTTGCATCCTAGAAATAAATCCCACTTGATATGATATATGATCTTTTAATGTGCTGCTGAATTAAATTTACTAGTATTTTGTGGAGAATTTTTGCCTCTATGTTAATCAGACATGTTGACCTGTAGTTTTCTTTTCTTGTGTTGTTTGTCTTTGATATCAGGGAATGCTGGCTTAATGAGTTTGCAAGTGCTCCTTTGTCTTCACTTTGGGGAAGAATTTGAGAAAGGCTGACACTAACTCTTGTTTAAATGTTTAGTAGAATTCACTAGTGAAGCCATCTGGCTCTGGGCTTTTCTTTGTTGAGACGCTTTTTGATTACTGATCCAATCTCCACATTAAAATAGGTCTGCCTTTATCCTTGAAATAACCTGCTCAATTGTCAACAAGAAGTGTATCTGGAGACAGTTTGCATTCCTTTTTGTTTGTTTAATGTTGATTATGTCCCTGATAATTCAGGCATAAATAAAAAATAAGGTAAAAATTATATGTATAAAAATCTATGTAGTCGATGTAACTAAAATATTTGAGGAATTAATGCTGGATTTTGAGAAGAATGTATACATAATGGAGATTCTGGAGAAAATGCAACTGAGCCATCCACATCAAGTGTAATTTTTCTTCTTATTAGAAGCACATGAGATTAATAGACTACAGTGATTATCTATTATTTACAAGTATGATACTGTAAGAATTCTTTCCTGCTTTCTGGAGATTGACCATTCAGAGACAATAAGGAAGGGGAACATGTGTTTTATGAATCATCCTTGTGTATTTTCTTTTTTTTTTTTTTTTTTTTTTTTTGAGACGGAGTCTCGCTCTGTCGCCCAGGCTGGAGTGCAGTGGCGGGATCTCGGCTCACTGCAAGCTCCGCCTCCCGGGTTCACGCCATTCTCCTGCCTCAGCCTCCCAAGTAGCTGGGACTACAGGCGCCCGCCACTACGCCCGGCTAATTTTTTGTATTTTTAGTAGAGACGGGGTTTCACCGTTTTAGCCAGGATGGTCTCGATCTCCTGACCTCGTGATCCGCCCGCCTCGGCCTCCCAAAGTGCTGGGATTACAGGCATCCTTGTGTATTTTCATGTTTCTTAAAAGTTAGTAAGAAGCTTCTCCTTTCTATTTAAGTAAGATAAATTTAAGATGTGATAGAATGTCACGATGGATTTCTGATTTCTGCTTCAGGTTTAGATATCTGTACCCTACCCTTCTTTTAGTCACATACGCACACACTTGGTAGAAGGATCATCCAACTTTATTCAAAAGACTTGGCTGTACACTGAAAGCCTTCATAGTCAAGTGAACCACACCTACTCTGGGACTCAAAACTATTGGGATTGTTGAAGAATCCAAATGCCAGCAGAAGCCCTGAAGCCTTATGGGAAATGTTGGTCTTCTGATGCCCTGAATAGAATATTTCTATTATTATAATTTTTATAAATATTTATAAATATATAAAAATTATATATTTATACATATATAATATTATATATGTATAAATATATAATATATATGTATAAATATATAAAATTATATATTTATAAATATATAAAATATATGTATAAATATATAAATAATATATTTATAAATATATATTTATAATTTATAATTTATATATAATTTATAAACTATATATAAATTACATATATATTTTAATATATGTATAAATTATAAATTTATAAATTATAAATATAAATATATAAATATGTAATTTATAAATACATAATTATAAGTATTATAATATTTCTATTATTATAGTTAAAGAATCAAAGTATTATCTTAAGGAAGACAAAGTATAAGAATAGGAACTTGGAAGGTGGGAGTTAAGCGGGCCACTGGAATTTTATCAGTTAATTGCTCCCATATATAATGGGATATCAAGAATTCCTGAGAAAAAAACAACAGTTTGGGTAATACACCAGAAAAGGAAAATAGTAACACTTTCCTTTGGCCTCTCTCTTAATAGTGATTCTATCTATACATTAAAGAGCCTGAATTGTTATGGTAATAGAAGGCATAGAATTATAAGGAAATTGCAGCTGGTATATAGTATAGATACACATTCACTTTTCAAATTTTGTGAACGTTTCCTCCTTTGAGTCAGGCGTAGAAGCTCCCTAAGTGCTGATAGATAGAATAAGATAAAAAAATACGTTGTGATATTCAGTTAACTGAATCTGTCTCAGTCTTGTTTACATTGTTCCCAAATCTCAGACGCTGCAAGTGAAAGAGCCTTTTAATAGTAATACTGTCAATGATTACATATAAAAACATACCAAACCTCACAGAATTGACCAATCTATATTAAATACCTGTGAGAAGACCCAGACTTGAAAATTTGAGTTTTTGTCTACATGTAATATGTCTAACTGTAGTAGAATGCAGTATGTTTCAGAAATATCTTGCCATGTCCTTGATGTGAAGTTTGGTATGATCACTTGCTGTGACCAGGATCTTGGAGTGTAGATGACACAGAGCAGAGCTTCAGTCAACCTGCGGTGGACATCTAGCATGGACATAAATAAATCTTTGTTGTTTTAAGCCACTGAAGTTTCTTTAGCCATAGCAAAATACAATCTATCTTGACTTATACACTATCCTGAGCTTTGTATGTGTGATATCAAAAGTATGGATCAGAAGAATAAATGTATTTGTTCTTCCTTAATTTTAGAGGTATAGTCAGTGAGAAAATAAAGCTTAATTCCACCAAAGGAATCCGTTTCTATCACTTTAAAGCAACTTGTTTGACATTTAAAGAAATATCTTAAAAAACAGGCAGGAAGCACAGTGATTCTTTATGTTGTCACACAGAGAAATATTAAAAATAATGGCATATTTTCTTTACAGGAGTAAAACGAATTCATCACCTTTGTGAACATGATATTTATGTACATTTTATGTGGTAAATTATTTACTTCAAATGGATTTGTGTATCAGAAATGACAGGAATGTCAAAACTATTTATGAATGGTTATAATTAAGAATACTTGACTTTTGTGAAAATTTAGAGATCAAAAATATTTTTTCAACTTGGTTTATATGTGTAGCAGAAGGCAGCCTAAAAAAAAAGAAAGTTAACTTAGAGAGTAACCAAGGAAGAAATTACAACAGAGTTCTTTTTAGAAACTATGCAATCCAGAAGACAATAGAGGGCATCATCTTAATAATACAGCTTGAAAGAAAAAAAGTAAACCCTAGAATTATATACCCAGTGAAAATATCCCTAAAAAAGGAAGGTGAAAGTCTTTTTTTACACAGCAAAAAGCAGAAATAACTCCTTTCCAGCAGACATGAAATGTTAAAAGAAGTTCTTTAGACAGGAGTATAACAAGAGATAGAAAGTTAGATATGAACAAAGAAAGGATTGTAGAGGCCAGGTGCGGTGGCTCATGTCTGTAATCCCAGCACTTTGGGAGGCGGAGGTGGGCGAATCACCTGAGGTCGGGAGTTCCAGACCAGCCTGACCAACATGGAGAAACTCCGTCTCTACTATAAATACAAAATTAGCCGGGCGATGTGGTCCATGCCTGTAATCCCAGCTACTTGGGAGGCTGAGGCAGGAGAATCACTTGAACCTGGAAGGTGGAAGGTGGAGGTTGCGGTGAGCCAAGATCGTGCCATTGCACTCCGGCCTGGGCAACAAGAGTGAAACTCTGTCTCAAAAAAAAAAAAAAAATTAAAACAAATAAATAAATAGAAAGGATTGTAGAAATGGGAAATGTGAGAGTAAATAAGAAGTTTACCTTTTAAAAGTTTATAACATATGTAAATATAGAGATGTAACATGCATAAAAATAAAGGACAATGCAGGAAAGAAAATATGTGGAAGTATATTGTTTGAAGATTCTTATGCTACATGTGAAGAAACATATAAACTAAATAGACTTCTACATACTAAAGAAATGTAGATAAATATTTTTCACAAAGAGAACTCGAGATTCAGATGGCTTCACGTAGTCAACATGGTCATATAATTTCTAGACAGCATAATAAAGGCATGAAAAGAAAATAAAAGGCATAAAGATTGTGAAGAAAAAAATAAAATTGTTCTGATTTGTAGATGACATAATTGTCTACATATGAAATCTGAAGGAACCTAAACCAACAAACAAAAGCCAGCTACTAGAATTAATAAGTGAGTTCGTCAAAGTCGCAAGATACAAACTAAACATACAAAATTAATTGTATTTCTGTATACTAGCAATGAACCTGTGGGCATAAAAATTAAAAATACTTTTTCATAAAGAAAACACTTCTATGAAATAGTTGTAAATGAAAACATGTACAGGACTTATATGCTGAAAACTACAAAATGCTGATGAGAGGAACACAGCATCTCAATAAATGGAGAGACATAATGTGTTTGTAGATTGGAAGACTCAGCATGGTGAAGATGACAATTCTTTTCAAGTAGATATGTAGGTTTAATGCAATCTCATCAATATCCCAGCAAGATATTTTGTAGATATAGACAAGATTATTCTAAAATTTATATGGAAAGGCAAAAGAACTAGAATAGCTAAAACAATTTTGAAAAAAGAATAAAGTGGAAGGAATCATTCTACCTGATTCAAAGACATTATATGGCTCTAGTAAGCAAGTCTGTGTAGTAGTATTCGTGGAGGGATAGATACATAAATTAATGAAACAGAAGAGAGAACCCAGAAATAGACCTATGCAAATATGCTTGAATTTTGACGAAGACAGAAAAGCAATTCAATAGAGGACAGATTACAAACAGAGAGCTGGAGCTATCATACATCCATAGGCCAAAAAATGAACTTTGAGCTAAGTCTCACTTTGTATGCAAATAAACTAGAAATGGATCATGGAATTAAATATAAAGCATAAAAATGTAAAACTTTTAGAAAAAAAAATCATAGAGAAAATCTTTAGGTTTGGGCTAAGCCAGAGGTCTTAGACCTGACACCAGAGGCCTGGTCCATTAAAGGAAAATTCAGTGAATTAGACTGCATTAAATTTGGAAATTTTTGCTATGTGAAAGACGTCGTTATAGGGAATAAAAATTCAAGCCACAATCTATTATAGGAGAAAATATTTGCAAATTACATATCTGATAAAAGACTAGTATGTAAATTATATTGAGGACACTCAAAACTTAAAGAACAATCAATTAGTAAAAGGACAAAATCAATGAAAAGACACATCACCAAGGAGGATATATATATGGCAAATAAGCAGATGAAAAGATGTTCAACATCATTAGCCATTAGGGAAATGGAAATTAAAACTGTACACCAATGTTCATAGCAGCTTTATTTGTAATATCCACAATCTAGAAACAACCTAAATGTCCTTAAAGGGGAGGAGCAGTATTGTATGATATGGATGTGCCACAGTTTAACTGTGATCCTTTCCTAAGTTTGTTTAACTGTGGTACATCCATATCATACAATACTACTACACCCCTTTATGGACATCTAGGTTGTCAGATGACCTAGATGGATGTGGTACATCCATATCATACAATACTACTTAGCAATAAAGCAGAACAAACTGTTGGTACATACCATGACCTGTGTAAATTTCCAGAGACTTACACTTAATGAAAAAAGCAAGACCCAAAGGTTCTTATATTGTATGATTCCATCTATAGAACATTCTTGAAATGACAAAATTATAGAAATGGAGAACAGATTAGTGGTTGCAAAGGGTTAAGGAAGTAGTGCAGGGCAGGAAGGATGTAGGGATGGCTACAAAAAGGCAACATATGGGATCCTTGTGATTACAAAAATGTTCTATATCTTGACTATGTCAATGATGATATTTTAGTCATTTTGCATGGGTGAAACCAGGGTAAAGAGTAAATGGGATTTCTCTGTATTTTTTTATAACTGAATGCAAATTAACAATAATTTAATGTAAAAAATTTTAATTAAAAATTATATACATATGAAAAAAGTTACTAGGCTAAAACCTGCTCCTCTGAAGATATGGGTACTTAAGGATAGTTTATTTCTTCCAACCTAAGATAAATTTAGGGGCACTTTACTTTATATGCGTATGGCCTTGAAAATTAACTATTCTATATGGTTGGAGAGCCCAGACTTTTTATGGGTACAATATTCATATTTTTCCAGAGACATGTAAGTTAGCAAAAATAGAACTCAAAAAAAGTTGTGTTTATTTTTCCAAACAATAGGTGGCATCTGAGTTTCACAAACTGATAATTCATGCTCATATCAGGAAATACAGTTGTATTTTTCAAATTAATTTAAAATTTAGTTTACATAGTACTCATCATGGTTTATATTTATAAGTATTGATTAATTAAAAGAATACACAATTTTTTCTAAAATTAACACTGGGAATTTTGCTAGTTTTGAGGGAAAATATGAAAATATGCCATAGATTTCATAACGTAATGTTACATCTTTTTGAATATGTTATAATTTATACATTGTATAAGAATACACTTTTACTCTCGAATCTGTACTGGAAGTTTTAACTAAAATTTAGTGAATTCTAATGCATGTAAAATGTTAATTTTTCTAATTTTCTTTCACATTATTCAGCTGTGTAGAAAAATCTAATATAAGTATTCAGTATATGAATGATACATAACTTCATTTTCTAATAAAACTTACATTATTTGGAAATACCAACCTTCTTGACTCTGTCAACTTTGACTACTGTTTTAAACCTCAGGCACCAAATGTTTTCTTGTTTCCCTCCCTTTCACAGTTTGGAGCTTATTCTTGGGGACTATTCTAAGCCTGAGGAACCAACAACCCAAGGTGAGACTAATCATTTCCTATTGTTTTCGGGTATTGAATACCTCTATATCAGTTTTAAAAAAAGAAAAGTCTGGAGCCTTTTGTGTTATTTTTCCTAGCTGTAAGACTATAAACTCTCGTACATATTCAAAGCTGTTGAGTTTATTCTTTCCTAAGAACCGCTAGGTTATACTGGCTCTGAATATCTTTGTATTTTGTTCTCATCCTTTTATGGGGCCTGCCAGCACACAACCCTATGGCGAAAGCCACCTGCCTGCTTTGCCGTAACTACCTGGGTCTGGCTCTCAGGCTTCATCTCCCTAGCTCAATAGGATAAAAGCCCGAACTCTGCACAAATGAGTGGTGGAAACAATGCCAGGTTTTCTCTTTAAAAAATGGATTTGGATTCATCCCCTGCCATTTTTGAACTCTAAAGCTATGGTTAAGTTTTCAAACCTATCTGAGGCTCATTTTTATCGACGACATAATCTGTTGTGAGAATTAATTTAGGTTAAATATTACATTTGTAATCCATTCTGTAATGGGGCCTTATTTATTTTTTGTTGTTCATTAGAAAATAAAAATTTAAAAATGAAATCAATATATAAATTCAAGCTATTGTCAAAAGAGTAATAAATATAAATTTTGAGTAATACCTAGCTGGCATAGCTGGCAGTTGTATGTAAGCTACAGGAAATTTTTAAAAACAGAAAAAAACATTTTTTTTTTACTTCAAAAGTTAGTGTTCAGAGTAGACAGAGTAGAAATGCCCTTCCTTCCTTCCTTCCTCCCTTTTCCTCCCCTCCCTCCCTCCCTCCTTCTCTCCCTCCCTTCCTCCCTTCCTTCCTTGTTTCCTTCCTTTCTCTTTCTTTCTCTTTCTTTTTCTTTCTTTCTTTCTTTCTTTCTTTCTTTCTTTCTTTCTTTCTTTCTTTTCTTTCTCTCTCTCTCTCTCTCTCTCTTTCTTTCTTTCTTTCTCTCTCTCTCTCTCTCTCTGTTTCTTTCTTTCTCAGAGTCTCACTCTGTTGCGTAGGTTGGAGTGCAGTGGCACAATCTTGGCTCACTGCAACCTCCACCTCACGGGTTCAAGCGATTCTCCTGCCTCAGCCTCCTGAATAGATGGGATTACAGGCATGTGCCACCACTCCTGGCTAATTTTTGTATTTTTAGTAGAGACGGCGTTTCGCCATGTTTATCAGGCTGGTCTCAAACTCCTGACCTCAGGTGATCTGCCTGTCTTGGCCTCCCCAAAGTGCTGAGATTACAGACGTGAGCCACCGTGCCTGGCCGAAATGTTCTTTATGTAAAGGTATTACCTGTTTGATCAAAATATTACTATAAAATCTTCAAGGTGGGAGTTTGGAAAAACAGAAGCAGTCACAAAGAGGGTTTATTTTCACTAGACAGAAAGTAAAGACAGACTTCAGGAGAGATGAACAATGTTGGAAGGGCTTTGGTACTCTGGGAAGTGTGTGTGTTTGTGTATTGTGTTGTTGCTATTAATACTAAGTCCCTACCTGAGCCATACGGATAAACAATAGAGGAGATGTGGTTCCACAAAAGAAAACAGAGGGACTGCTCCACATTTGTATAATGAGGATAGTATCTCTTAAATCATAGTACTGAGGTGAGGATTAAATGGAATAAAGTATATATTGCCTGATGGATGCAATGAGTGGCCCAAAATAAGTGCTCAACAAATGGTGGTACTAGGAGTAATAATAATTTTTATTTTTGTTTGTAAATAGGATGATTTTTATTGTTGTTAAAGTAGTAATTTTCTAAAACAGTTTTAGGGTCATATTTGTTATCTTAATTATTTTATCAGCCTACAAATGAAGGATAATTATTTGAATATAATCTTTGCAGAGCCATTATGTAAAGGTGGCACTTCCTCCAATTATATCCTTAATTTGTTTATTATCTCCATGCCTAATCAAGGTCCTCTGAATTACCACAATAAAATTTTCTGTATCTTAAAAAAAAAAATACTGAGTCAAGAATTTGAATGCATGGTTGAAAACCTAAACTAAGACATCATCTTACAGCAATGTACTATCATATCATAGTCATATACTACCAAATATTTAATAACTTTATGAGAGTATATCTTCTCTCTGTAAGGACAGCTTTTTGAATGGTAATGCTTTATATTTTTGTGTCCCTAAGAGTATCTAGCACTATTAATCAGATTAATATGTAATCTGACTACATAGTAGATGCTCAATGAGTATCTTGAGCTGGAAAGTTAGGCTTTCCAGCTCTAAAAATAAATTCTTAAAGTCTACATCTAGATTACCAAATTTTTTTTTGTTTGTTTTTAAGACAGAGTCTCGCTCTGTCACCCAGGCTGGAGTGCACTGGCGCAATCTCAGCTTACTGCAAGCTCTGCCTCCTGGGTTCACGCCATTCTCCTGCCTCAGCCTCCCGAGTAGCTGAGACTACAGGTGCCTGCCACCACGCTTGGCTGATTTTTTGTATGTTTAGTAGAGATGCAGTTTCACCGTGTTAACCAGGATGATCTCGATCTCCTGACCTTATGATCCGCCTGCCTCAGCCTCCCAAAGTTCTGGGATTACAGGTGTGAGCCACCATGCCCAGCCACAAAATGGTTTTTATTAATTCTGAAGTACACATCAATGCATATATTTTATTTTAGCTTTTCCTTTTAGTCTCTTCAAGGATTTACTGTAGCCAAATCCATTTAATAAAGAGTTATTTATTTTACATAAATTCAGTGCATTGTAATAGAGAGTAGGGAGGACACCAGCTGTATTTCCACTTGATGACTGGTATCTTTTAAATATATTTGTGTATGCCAAGTCTAGGTAGTGAGGAAAATGTTTTGCCTAAGATTTGCATCTAATTAACACATAAGGGAAAAATTCCTATATCAATGGAAGTAACATAATCACTTATTCAAACAGTCTTTCAGAATTTACTATGAATTTGACTTATGTAGGGAATACGGGTAAATGTTAGGTGCCTTAATCATGCCTCAACTTTTTTTCCTTTTACCTCTAAGTTTATACTGTCTGTGAATTATCGAAGCATTTACAAGTGATTTAATAATGTATCCAGATATTTTTTATATAAGCAAGCTATACTAAATTATTTTAAATTTGAATTCCATACCAAAGGTGTTTGGCAACTCTTCTGGTGCACTAAGATTTTAACTAAACTCTTCGCTGGGGAGAACATGGTTGGAAATTACGTAGTACATAAGTTCCTTGTACTGTGGTATTTTTCTTAGTTGATTTACTTTTGCAATCATTATATTTATTATTAACTAGCCAAATCAAATTAAACCTGCTGTATTTAGAGGAAACATGGCCTTTGTGTTCTGTGCTGAAACATTTTATCCAAAAACTGACCATCAGCAAATTTCATCAATATTGAGTTCCATTGTCCAGTGTGAAGCAGAACCTTCCCCCACTGCACATACACTCATGGGTAGAGGACTCAAAGAGGAGGGCAATAACATGGTCTGTTGCTTTTTATTTATGAAAACATGGTTCTCATTTTGTCTGCTCTGGATAGGAATAAAGTAGCACATTGCGAACACTTTTACTGTTCACTTATCTGTAGAAAATGGTTTCCATGAACAAATTTAAATAAGGGAGAAATATGCTTAGATTTTTTTTTGTGTGTGTAGAACAAATGCTGCCATCGTATAATATTTCTTTTTGCTTGGCAACACTGCTGAGATCAGCAGAACTTGTCGGCGCTGTAAACTGTCTAATAAATTTCCTGTCCTACTATATATTAAAAATAACGCAGTGATCTGACAGACATATCATCAGTAGAAATGACTGTTCATGCAAAATGATCTAGTGCTGAGATTAGTTTAATTTTATTGGTGTTAGTGAATGTTTTATATTGTAGAAAGTCATAAGAGATCTTGTTATTCATGTCCCCTATTAATCTTGATAATATGGAAGTTAATCTTTTAATTACTGAATTGTAGCTACTGTAATATATTTGGTGGTGGCTGGCGGTAAGTTGCCTCCCTGACTGGTCCTCTTCTGATAGGTGCTTTTTGTGGAGAATTTCATCTACTATTGCAGCTTGAAGAAACTAAGTTATTACATGAATAGAGTGGTAAAACACATGTAAATATGTGTAACATATAGAGTATTCATTATAACAATCAAAGTCCCAGAAAGAAACTATCAAACTTAGATAACACGAGACATAAAGGAAGATAGAATTTAGAGACTTATGTCAGGATTAAGGAAACCAGCAAGGAAGTTGGATAATTTAGAGACTAGCAATATTGAGATGCCATTAGTAGTCCAATGACAGCTGGAGTCCTTGGACAACGGGTGCAGGACAGGAACCGCTGTAACAGAGGGATAAAAGCACTGTCAGAAAACACATCTTAGATAGAGAGTGAGGAATACACAGACATCGTTCTCTCCTTACCCTCTGATCACTGCCACCTCCCACTGGCTGAGTACAAATGGGAGCCAGTTGGCAAGATGGAGTC